>NC_000011.10:80449635-80752665 GCF_000001405.40 Homo sapiens | reverse complement strand
TTCGTACATTTTCTGTTCTAGAAACTCAAAATCCCAATAATACTAAAATATATGCAGCTCCCTGGCAAAAAATGGCATGCCTCAGAGCCTTTGCTTATACTGTTTTGTCTGTCTAGAAAGCTCTGCTACTTGGCTAACTTTGTCAATAAAGTCTTACTAAAGCCATTTCCTTTTCTTAGCCCATTCAGTCATTGCTGTCATGATTGATTTTTAGTTATTATTTATCAGATAATATACGTAAAAAGTAGCATGAAACAGGCGGGAGGATATAGGCTTAAGTGTTTACTCATCAGTGTGCCTATCCAGATGATGTTAATTACTATGTAGTTTCCCTAAGCCTAAGTTTTCTTATCAGTAATTTAAAAAAATATAATTCTATAGAATTAATATATTAATAATATATTAATATTTTATAGAATTAATATATTATTAATATATTAATTCTATATAATTATTATGAAATCAAATTAGAAAATCTGAAATGCTCCCATGAGGTGTATAGTACAGATTAATTTAATAAACAATAAGTATTATCATTTATTTTATTAATGAAGTCTGATGAGGAAGCTGATTGAAATTTATAAAATTTTGAATAGGCTGAATTTTAAGTAAAATGATTTTGTAACATTCATGTAAGGCATAGAAATTCTTCTGAAATTGGCCAACAATCTAATGGTAGCTCTTCCTACAGAATAAACAAAACTCTCTTGTTCTAGTAATCTATTGCTCTGAAGCGAATCATCTCAAAACTTACTTGCTTTAGACAATACCAGTCATTTATCTGCTCACAAATAAGGTAGAGTTTGGCTGAGACAGCCCTTCTTGGATCCACCAGACATCTGGGGAGGCATTCAACTGGGACCTGCAGGATTCGCTTTCAATGTGGCTCACCCACATGGCCAGGAGTGCAGACCAGGACCAGCTGTTTCTCTCCACATGGGTTTCTTCAAGGACTTCTTGGGCTTCTTCAGAGCATGCCAGCTGGATTTCGTGAGTAAGCATCTTAAGAGACAAAAAATGGAGGCTGCCAGTTTAATAAAGCCTGTGCCAGAAACTGGTACAGCATCACTTCCTCCATACTCTTTCAGTCAAGCAGTCATAGGGCCCAGATTCAAGGAGAAACGCATAATCCCTACCTTTTGATAGAAACAATTTTCACTTGAAAACTTTGGGGGTATGTTTTAAAAGTATTACATCTCCCAAACCTCCTGGCAGTCAATGCCAGAGCCAGGATTTAACTGCAGGTTTATTTGATGACAAAGCCCATTTTACAAAGACTAAAACAGACCTGAAGAGAAATATAGCAGGTTTAAGTAATTTCCCATGGGGAAATGAAAACTCTGAATCCAAAGTCCTTAAATTAGCTACTACACTATGGTTCACAAGATGAAATGCACTGGTGCATGGCAGTGCATTTTTAAATTGTGATGCTTTCTATCAATAAACTCTTTGTAAGTAAAAGTAAATTCTGATGTAGACTTGTGGTTTTAGCCGTACGGTCTAGACTACTATTATGAGCTAGAGAGGTAGTTCCAGTGTCCTTTGTGGTTAGATTGGTCATATGACTGAATTGTAGCTAATAAAATATGATCAGAAATGATATATACAACTTGTAGCCATGAACATAAAACAATTCCACATGTTCCTCTATGGGTTTTGCTCCTTTCAACTTGGGAAAGGAGATGATCTCAAGGGCAACCTCGGGAACTATGAACTGAGGATGCCAGAGCTGTCACAGTCTTGAGGAATAATCAAATGGTAAAAATAATAACTTATGAGTGGCTAAATGATATTCAGGTTAAATCAATTCACAGTCATCTGTTTCTTTGCAAACAATGACTGTTTTGCCTATGTACATGTTACTTGGATTTAGACTTCATTGGGTTGTACTCTTTCTACAATTATAGCACCTGGCTTCTCAGTTAAAATGGATTTTTCAGTGCTAGGTCATTGACATGGTTTGGCTGGGTCTCCACCCAAATCTCAACTTGAATTGTAATAATTCCCACATCTGAAGGGTGAAACCAGGTGGTGATAATTGAATCATGGGCGCAGTTTTGCCCATACTGTGCTCGTGGTAGTGAATAAGTCTCACAAGATCTGATGGTTTTATAAATGTGAGTTCCCCTGCACAAGCACTCTTGCCTGCTGCCATGTAAGATGTTCCTTTGCTCTTCCTTTATCTTTTGCCATGATTGTAAGGCTTCCCCAGCCATATGGAACTGTGAGTCCATTAAACCTCTTCCCTTTAAATTACCCAGTCCCAGGTATGTCTCTATTAGCAGCATGAGAACAGCCTAATACAGTTCATGTATGGATGGAGTGTAATAGACAGTTATCTATGGTTGGTCTCTTAAAGATACTAGGCTAGTGTGTGAGGCAACTTATAAAAAGAATAACTCTCAATAAGGTTTGTAAAACTGGACAAAGAGAAGAAAACTGGGATCTGGTAATACCTGGTGGATTTGAGAGTTTGGTTTGACTCTGAGCTTCCTAGCAGCTAAAGCGAGAGAGAGAAAAAATAGCTCTTTTATTAGAAAAAAATCATTTAAAGAATAAGTAACTATTTTGAATCTATCAGTTCAAACAACTTCTCCTTTTTTTGTCCACGAAACTAATAATATCAAAATATTAGTAATGTAGAAATGATCCAATTATGTGATTTATTCAATATAAAAGCTATAGAATTTGCTTTAAAATTATTAAGTATTCTGATCAACTTTGGATGTTTCATACAAAGTACATATTTTGAAGTGAGGTAAGGGGAAAGATTTGCTATAATATTACGTTAAAAAGAATGCTATGTTAAAGGCTTTTAGGGTAACCCCCAACCCCACAGTGGGTATTCTTTGGTACAACCAACAATAAACAGTAATATTTATTGAGGTATGTATTAAGTACCTATTATAAGCCAAAACAAAGTCAGTTTGTTAAACATTGCCTTCCTTACTAGGTAAGCATTATTCCCCTTATGCAGAGGAAACGGAGGTACACAGAGTTTAAGGGGATCGCTCAGTGTGTTGTTGTGAGCTTTGAAGGGTAAGCTGTGGAGTAAGCTAGATCTTCCTCCAGAACCCACAGGTACTTTTATTTTGTGTGTACACAGCACCCCTTTTCTACCACAGAGCATAGAGTACATGAGAGCATAGAAGTCATAAGAAGAATGAAAGAGAGGAAACAGGACAAGGAGTGACTTAAGATGGAGAGGAAGGACGAGTAGTGTATTTGCAAAGGAAGCCAGAGCCTCCTTCTTATCCCACACTCTTAGAGGGCTGTGTTTTCCACCAAATCATCAGTCCAGAACTCATCGCTCCTTCTTTTCTGGGATTATTTCCAGGGTCTTACCTTGGAGGTACTTCTCAGGGAGAGCAGCCAGGTGGAATCGGCTGCTGGCTGTGTGGCTGTGTCCTAACTAGCCATGAGAGCCCTTTGGACACTGTGTCCCCTTCAGTGACATGAGAGTCCAATGAGGCAGTATTGCAGCCTTCCCCACACCATCTTCCCTGTAAACCCACATGTTTACTGTCTGCATCGACTATTTAACTCTTGGCTTCTGCTGTCTTGTATTACTATTGCACTGGGTAAATACTTCTACCTCTCCCCTCCCTTTCCCTTAGGGAGAGATCATGGCATAATACATATATTGCTATGTATTCTTATGTATTCCTATGTATTCCTGAACCTTCTAGTATATACACTCCATGTAGTAAGTGCTCACTGGGTGGAACTGTGTAAAACGGTACACAAGCAAGACAGGATTTGAAGACCTTAAGGTTTCCCATTTCACTATTCTCTCAGCATCAAAATGTGAGGATTCACATAGTGTTTTAGAATGTACAAGTGATTTCACTTTAATAATTTTATGCGATCCTTACAACAATCCTGCCAGGCAAGCCATAGTGATTATATCTATATTACACAAAGAGGAAACTAAATCTTAGTGTGGTTAATTAACTTGGCCAAGGTCCCATAGCTGGCTTATAAAACATTTCTTGCATGAATGAAGGAAAGAAAGAATGAGGCACAATTAGGACTTTAGATCAATTCTCTGTGACTTCATATTCAGTGCTCTTTCCAATACGCTGTTTTGTCACTTTGACATCTTGGTTAAACTAATTTCACGGAAGAATTTATAGCTTAAAATAATTTGAAATGACACAACTCAGTGGTGGTAGGAGGGACAAGGAAAAGAAGAAAGCACATTTTTATTTCAGGAAAAGATACTATCTTTCAGGGAGCACAGATGGGGCAAGCTGGTATGAGGCATATGTTTGGCAACTGGAATGTACATGCTGTCACACCCTAAAAGTAACACAGCATTGTCACTGCCTCCTCCACTTATTAGGTCAGCCTTTGAAGAACAAATTTTCTATTTTCCTTATTTTCCCCTCATTAAAATCCTTGTAAATATAAGGTGAAAAGTGCCCATAAACAATTTCTGATCTTTCTCCCTCTCTCAGCTCTATGAATAGAATTGTCTTTTCCCTAAGCTTTAATCAGTGTCTCACTGAGTAAGTAGTGATAATCAAACCGATTTTTAATACTTTAACCCATTATACTTAATTGGGCTCTTAAGTTACAGGAATAAATAGAAACGGATGAACCTTTAAATCCCTCCGCACTAAACGCTGTTTACCTGACTCACTTCAATGAATCAATCTCCCCATGTAATTCTCCCCCTCCCTGCAGCCCCCTTGAAAAAAATAAGACCGCAATTAAATGTACGGTGGTGGATCATTTCTTGCTGGCAATAATTATATGGGAGAATTTGAATCTCATCAGAAGGTCTAATTTGAAGTAATAAACCTTCTTTACCTAAAGTCAACGATCCTGCTCTAATGCTGATGATAACGCAGCAGCCTAAAATAACAGACCGAGTGAACGAAAGATAACCATCACTCGAACTTATTTCTGAGCATGGGTATAAAACGCACTTATGAGGGAGACTGTTTCTAACTCTAAACGTTAGAAAAATAATTTGTTTAATGTGTTGAGTGTTAGAAAATATCACTGAAGACCCCAGACTAACCTTGAAGAGGTAGAATCTGGGCTGTGGTAAGTGACAGAAGTGCAGCTGGCGGAGACTGATGGTGTTCCAGGCAGAAGAGATGGCAGAGGCCAAGTCAGCAAGGTGAGAGGCCACACGGGAATGGTAATGAGTCTTACAGGACTCAGATATCTGAAGGGAAAATGAATTGAGGTGAAGGCAAGCCTTCTCATTTTCTCCACTTTTAGAAGGTTGCCTGAGGTGTTTCAAAGATTTGGCTGCAGGGCTGAAATGCCTTGGGTGATATTTTTTTTTTTTCTTTCTTAATAATAAGAACAATTAAATGTGGCCCAACTGGAGAATGATATGAATAGATCTGTGCTTTATACAGAGCTGCTTTGGCTATAGAGTATAGCATAGAGAAGATAAAAATTAGAGTTGGGAGGAAACTGTTGCAATTATCTGAGAAAGGTGAGAGGCTATGTGGAAGAGTGCCTACTATGCTGTAAAGTTAAAATTCTCGAAAATGAGTGAATACTCTGTGAGAATGGAAGAATTTTTGGAACCAGAAAATGATCACAATTTCAAAGAGGAAGATAATTGCCTTTCTTATATACATAAGAGGAGAACCAGGTTGGAAAAGGGGGCAGTAAGAGGATTTGTCTTTACCAGAGTGATGTAGAAGAATGTTTCCACTCTCATGCAGAGATGTCAGAGGATGCTGGGCAGGTGGTGTTAGTCATTATGAAGAAAACAGGGCTAGTTGTCAGTGGCTACTGGGAGACTAGAACAAAGCTGTGAAACCAAGTCTATGTAGAATTATGAGAGAAAAAAGGGAGAAAAAAGTATGCCGCCTTGAGAAGTGTCTAAATTTAAGGGACTGACAGAAGAAGAGGCAGGGAACAAGAAGCTTTCGTTTTCTCGAGAGTTAGGGAAGGGACCAAGGAAAGAGAAAGAACTTCCTGCCAAGAGTTCTGGTAAGAGAAAAGATGAGTAGATTTGGCAATTAGAAGACCACTTATCGTAAAATTTAAAAGAGTAAAACATTACAAAGGGAATTTTAGAAGCAAAGGCCTGCATGTTAAGATTTGAAACATGTCCTTTAGAAAGTTCATAGTGAACTTAAATCATTTTTACCAGATGTTCGACAGTGAAATGGAAAGTGATAGACCAGTGCTGGTGAGGCGTGTGGGAGGTGCAGATTGCAGGGCAGATTTGGTTGCTATTTTGATTGCTTCCTTTGTTTGGCTATTTAATAGGATATTTAAATTGGTATATAAGACAAAGAGAATGATTTAAAAAAAAAGGGATTGGAAACAACATGTATTACACATTAAAGATGTTTTATCGGTTAGGCATTTGTATTGACTCTCACATAAACAACCCAATTTAATCCTGACAGTATCAAGAGGAGTGTAGCACACACATGTTACAGCTGAAAATGATGCGCTGTGATGTCAAGCACTTTCCCAAGGAGATGCAGCTAATAGTTGCCAGAGCCATAATGATATTAGGTCAGTAATCAATTTTTCCTCTTATTTATTCAATCCACAAATTTTCAATGAGTACCAATTATGAGCCACATGCTGTCCTGGGCCCTAGAAGTACAGTGGTTAACAAGGTAGAAATCATCTTTGCTCTCCTAATAAGTTAGTCTTAAGGGACCGCCAGAGGGTAAATGCACTAGCTACCTCTTGGTTATTCTAAGGTAAATAATTCACACAAGACAGGTTGAACCTGAAGGTGTGTGACTGAAATATGGCATGGGAAGAGGATGTTTTCAAAGAATTATCTTTCTAAAAGAACCATTGTTACAGCTGTGACTCTGTGGCCTCAGAACTTGAAATACGGCCCATCTTTCTCCACCTTCATATTCAGTTTTAGTTCTCTGAACCCTTCTCTCCTTCTCTTCTCTCCGCCTGCACTTGCATAACTCTCTGCTTTGCTTCTTTGCAGGTGTTGTTCCCTTTGTCTGGGACGCCCTCTCCGTATGTATTAGTCTGGAAAACTCCACTTATCCCATCAGCCTCAGCTCTCACCTCTTCCGAGACCTTCCCTGACATCACTAGGCAAATATAAATGAGCCCTCTGACCATCCCCTTTGTGCAAGACTCAGGTTAAAAAAATGACCCCATGAGAGAGTGTTAATATTTCTTTCCTCAATTAGAATCTTGAAGTCCAGAACTGTGCATTTCCATCCTTATATCAGAATGTCTAGCACACAAGAAGCACTGGGAAATATGTGTGGAATAAATAACTGAGCATGTTGATAAAGGAGCATATATTTTTAATATCCATAGAAGTGCAAATCTTTGCTGGGTAGCGTTGTAGGAATGTTTTTCCACATGTCATGACGACATTTGTTTTGCATTTTAGTCCATTACCATAATAATAACTCTCCATTTGCAGCTTATGAATTTGAAAATAAATTGCCTTCCCTAGGAAATAGGAGAAAATACTATTAAATGGCCATAATTGTTATTACTTTGTCACCTGTATATTATGAAATCTGAATAGAAAAATTCAACTAAAAGAACTGAAATGCTTAGTTCATTATTGAGTATGCTTTCTTGGTGGGATAATATTTTTACAGAAAATATTTTTCTATTCCATTAAACTGTATTTAACAAGAACATGAATATACTGAGGTAGGCTTAAAAATATAGCAGAGCAAGTCAAATGCCAAAAATTATCCCAGCTCTGGAACTAAAACTACACAAAGAAGGGAGTAATGACATTGGGAACAAGGGCTGGATGTGGCTTTGATTGCTCTCTGATACACATCAGTGCATAAAAACAGTCCAGTATGTTTAGAATGTCTTCCTTTCCTCCAAAAACTTGGCTAATTCCCCTTCCACCTATTCCTCAAGGCACACGTATTCTGTGAAGCTTTCCTCATATTCTCTCGGACAGTACTTCTATTATTTTGCATCTATCTCATTTTGCTACAATAACTTATAGGTCTATACTTTGTATTAACTGATGAGCTTCTCGAAGTTAGGGACATAGTCTTATTCATCCTTATATTCCCCAGTGCCTGGTATATTGCCTGCTCTATGGAATATGCTCAGTAAATATTGAAGTGACAAAGCCCAACCATGGTGCTAATGATTGGAAGTAACTCAACCATCATAAAGTTTCTGACCTTATTCTGAATTATGTATTTGGCTGGTTATAAGAAAACACTATATAATACATTTTAAATTCCTTGGAAACGGAGATCATATCATATTCAGCATTAAATTGCTATTACTAATTTTTTAAGAAAAGAAAGGTCCTCCCTGTACCATGTACAACTATAACATCTATAAAATATTATTAATACTGTAGAAGAACTTTCTCTTTCTCTCCTGATTTTCCGAAACTCCTACCTCTCTATTTCAGTTGGTAAGTGAATTGTATTCTCACATAATGCATATATATGAAGAAAGATATAAATATTCATTTTTCTTCTTTTTTTAGTATTTAAGAATTGTGTTTTTGGAAGCACCTACTATGTGCTGAGTATTTTGCATAAATTACTAGTTTTCACAACGCTGCAAGGCACGTATCATTTTGGAGGTTGAGAACTAATGGCTAAGAGATGCTAAATAATTTCAGAATCTGAAGTGTCAAAACACCTCTGAAAGAATTCAGTATTGAATTCAGCTGTGAGAATAGTTGGTAATACAAATACTAACAATTGGTATGGTAGAGATATCAACAAATTACAATAGAATGCTTTCCATCTCAGGGTTCTAGAGCTAACCTTATATCATGAGGAGGTATGGGGTATTGAGAGAGGGTTAGGCAAGGCAACCAGAGTTGGCATAGGCCACTCAAAGTTCTTGAAGCAGGAGATATTTACCAACCTACAATATTTAGACCATACATATGTGTCCTACTAAATATCAGTTATGGTTAAGAGAAAAAAATAACATGTAAATAACTTGTAGGTAATATAGAGGGAAAGAGATTTCTTTTCTCATCTAGGTTCATAGCTGAGGCACCAAGAAAAAAGGCAGATTAACAAGAGGAAAGCATACACATTTGTTAAATATTAGTAATATGGTTTGGCTGTGTTTTTACCCAGATCTCATCTTGAATTGTAGCTCCCATAATTCCCACATGTTGTGGGAGGGAACCAGTGGGAGATAATTGAATCATGGGGGTTGGTTTCCCCCATACTGTTCTCGAGGAAGTGAATAAGTCTCATGAGATCTGACGGTTTTATAAGGGGCTTCCCCTTTTGCTTGGCTCTCATTCTGTCTTGCTTACTGCCATGTAAGACGTGCTTTTTGCCTTCTGCCATGATTGTGAGACCTCCCCAGCCATGTGAAACTGTGAGTCCATTAAGCCTCTTTTTTCTTTATAAATTACCCCGTCTTGAGTATGTCTTTATCAGCAGCATGAAAACAGACTAATGCAATTAATTTTACATAAGACAGGAGCCTTCAAAAATGAAGACCTAAAGAAATAAAAAAAACTGTAGGTTTTTATATTAAGTTTGATGAAGAGTAAATGATCATATCGCTGTTAATTGGAGGACAAAAGGGTATGATCTAATGTAATAAGCTGGGAGGAACTTGGCAAGGCCTGTTCAGATTTCTCTTGGGGTCTCTAAGTCTTTGACAATAAGAATGTTATTTTCCTCCAGATATAGGAAGGAAACCTATGGCATGAAGGTTTTCTTCAGAGAAAATTCAGAAAATTCTTTTAGGACCTGCCTCCGGGGAGAAAATGAGAGCAATTTTCTTGCTTCTGCTGTTTCCTCAAATGCCATGGTGCCAAATTTTGGGATAGTGTGTCCTTAACTCCATCAGTAATTAGGCTACCCCCAACTTCTGAGTGGTAGTCATTTGAAAGCAGTCAACATCTAGATTTGCACATATCTTTCAAAAATTTTTATTCTCTAAGCTATCTTGGGGAAAAACTGAACAAAACAACAAAAATATATCGTACTCAAAAAAGAGCTCTTCAAATCAAAGGCCTAGAGATAGTAAGAATCTGATAATTCAAAAATCCTGAGGACAACTATGGCAACATTTGACCTGACTTGATTTAAGAGATTGGTACTGTTTTTTTTTTTTTTTTAAAAAAAAAAAAAGGAAGAGAAGATAATAAAAAAAATTACTTCACATATTCAAACTTGTACACCTACACTGTTACGCAAAATTTATCCCTAGAGAACTCAGAAATTTTGAGCTATTTACCGTAAGAGAAAAAATAGCTTAATCATGAGACAGTTGTTTGTCTTACATGTTTTTAATAGAATCAGGCAAATCTTTTTACTGGCACCTTTTCCATATTCTACTCCAAGATCTCTGGTTGGGAGTTAGAATCCTTATGATCTAGCTCATAGCTTTTTCATTAATAAATGGTATAATTGTCAGATGAACACTACCAATTTTAGCCTCAGTATCTTTCTTATCAATAATTCAAAGGAATGATTTAGACAATCTTGCATTTTTTTTCTGGTATGACATTTTTATTCTTTTGGATTTTTAAATTTTCCTCCTTTTATTCCAGGAAATTCCATCTTCATTATCTGTGTTAGATATTCTTCCTAGTGCTACGAACTGAGAAACACTACAATGATGTAGACAGAGTCCTAGGCTGAGAGTCACATGACCTAGGGTTGAGTTCAAATTTTACAGAACAACAAATGTGCAGATTGGAAAACTATTTCTAAATCAGCAATGTAGAAGAGCATATGCAATAGTCAATGCCTATATGTAGGAAATTTTAAGAATATTCTTTATCGTTGGCTAATAAGAGAAGGTATATTCTAATAGCATAACTTCATTGTTTATTAATTGCATGTGCATTTGGAGCATGCTATCTAATGGGGGAGGGAAAATAAAGCTAAGGTTGCAGTCCAGTATGATAATTCCCAGAAACATTTTATGCACATAGTCTTCTGGGATTATATGGGGATGTCTAAGGCCTTTATAAACCAGATATCAGAAGACAATGAGTTTGAAGAGTTCCAACTGGAATGTTGTACAGAGCTTGGAAGATGACTAAAAGTTCACTGGATAGGTAAGGGAGGAAATGGCATTCTGGGAGAATACCTGCAAAAAATTGGAAGTATGAGACAATTCTGAGTTCAGGAGACATAAAACATTTTGAATATTTTGGATGGCAGAATCATGGGATGGTATAGGAGTGTGACAGGAGGTAAAGTTATACTCCAAAGAAAATTCTAAGCCCTTTATATAGCCAAAAGTATTGGATTCTATCTTGATGATTATAAGATATTGAAAGATTTTAAGCAGAAAAGTAACCTGATCTGGTGTTTCAAAACAAAAACTACAAAAGGAACCTGGTTATGTCTATGCCTGAAAACTCTCCCCCCTCCATTATTAGATAGAAGGAATGTTTTATAGTTCCATATTCAAAATTAAAAAAAAAATTGTGAATGTTTTGAATACACATGAAAACATTTTAATATATTCATGTTTAGGAATAAGAAGAGTTATAGAAATCTCCCATACAGAAGAATTCTGCCTAATTTTTGTAGATACTCTGCCCTCATGGAGGTGGTATAGAACTCCCCATTTCTTAAATGTAGGCTACACATAGTAACTTCTTTCCAAAGAGTACAGTATGGAAAGGAGGGGAAGGAGAGAGTCACTTTACAGTGAAGAAATCTGACAAATGCTACCTCAGTCAGGTAGTCAAGGTGATCATTAGCAATGATAAGTCATTTGATAAACATATACCTTTGATATGATGTGTTGAGAGAATGGTACTTTATCTCTGTGTTCTTCCTCTCCCAAAGCCATAACCCTGTATCTAACTATGAAAAACAGCAAAAAATCCAAATTAGAGAACATTGGATGAAGTATCTGACAGGCCTCCTTAAAACTGCTAAGATCATCCAAAACAGGTAAAGTCTGAGAAACTGGCACAGCCAACAGTAGCCTAAGGAGACATGACAACTAATTATAATGTGACATTCTGGATGGGATCCTGGAACAGAAAAAAGACCATTAGGTGAAACGAAGATAATATGAATAAAACATAGAGTTTAGTTAATATTAAAATATAGATATTGGTTCACTAGTTCTAACAAATGTATGATACTAATGTAAGATTTTAATAGTAGAGGAAACTGAGTCTGGAGTATATGTGAACTCTGCACTATCTTTGCAACTTCTGTAAGTCTAAGGCTATTCTAAACTTTCATTTTAAAAAAGAGAGTTGCACGTGGACTTGGTTCACCGAAACTCTAAGTGCCATTTAGTGATCCATTAATGGATGAGGGAATAGAAATTATTATCAAGAAAAACAAAATTAGCATTATGAAGTGCGGCTGTAGAATATTGTATTAGAATGTGTCTTTTTTCCTGAAATAAATTTTTAAAATTGTGGATGCTCAGGGCTTTTCTAAGAGCATATACTTTGTGTGAGATAGACACTAGACCAGGAGTCCCAGATCTTACACTGAGTGGCCTTGAGAAAGCTTAGTTTATAGTTTATATGTAATATAGGGATGAGAAATTCTCTGTCCATCTGAAAGTGATCTCATGTCAAAAAGTAGACCTTAGAAGCACTATGCCTATTTACAAAGAGCATTTGAGGCAAATAATTTGAAAACCTATGTAAGAAGTTTACAAATTGTAAAATGCCAAAGAGATATAAAAGGAGACCGTCTAGATTTCAATATCTAACTGTCTCACAGACACCTTTACCAGTAGTTTGAATATCCAAGACGTAATCATCTTCCCAAATCAAATTCTGTATAGACTGTCAAAATAGGTCCCTCATTTTCCTCGTGCCAACTGCATGCTTCAGAATTTGTTAAACTGTCATAGAAAATAATATTACATTTAATTTAATTTCAAGGAGATCTTCTAGTCTGCCTGAAATTAGGCCCCTCTCCCTCTAAGGTATTCCTACCTAAGAGGTGCACCTTGGGCCTCATGTGTGCTCAACACTAGTTGCTCAGGTTTGCTGTCCTTGCTGTCTGCTCCCTGATGACCCTCCTTTATGAAAATGAAACTCCAGTGTACACAGAAGTTTTTCTTCTTCACTTGTTCCAGTGAAAGGATGCAAACCACCCCAAAGAACCAAAGATCAGGTTGTAATATTAATAATTATTTTATTGAAAGTCTGACCATAACAGAAAAGGAGTGCGATGCAGGGAATAAGTTACAGCTCAGACCCAAGCCAGGACACAGCTTGGCGTGCCTTCCCCACTCGGACTTTCTGCCTCACCCCTGACCTGCTTCCAGTGGCTGGGCCTAGTTTACCAGCTTTTTCTGAAAATGCCTTAGAAATCCCAATAGCTCAGAGTGAAAGTCAAACTAACTCCTGGCTCCAGAAGGAAAAGGTGACTTTTCTTCATTTTAATCTGGAGCCTTCTTTATCAGCTTGCTAGGGCCATCATAATATAATACCGCAGACTAGGTGGCCAAAACAACAGAAATGTATTTTCTCTCAGTTCTGCGGCTAGAAGTCTGAGATCAATGGACTGGTTTCTTTTGAGGTCTCTCTTCTTGGTTTCCAGGTGGCTTCCTCGCTGTGTCCCTACCTGGTTATCCCCCATTCTGTTTTCTGTGTCCTAATGGCCTCATCTTAAGGGACACCAGTTATATTGGATTAGGGCCCATCCTAATGATGTAATTTTACCTTAATTACCTCGTAAAGGCTCTGTCTTCGTATACAGTAACATATCTGTGGGGACACAATTCAGCCTGTAACACCTTTCTTCTGAGTGTTCATTTTCTGCGGCAGGACAGTTTTTGCTAGGATGTCTGATAGTATTGATAGGAATAGCCATTCCCTTCAGAGTTGACCTTATCCTCATGTATAGGAGTATGCTATAGCTCTGTAGTTTCAATTAAAAAAAAAATAGCCACATGATAGAAATAAGTATGTTATCCAAAGCTTCCAATCTTAACTGATAACACATTTTGCTACAAATTGCTTATTTTGGCTGCACTACAGGCCATGTAGTGTAGGCCCGTTTCTACACATGTAGGCCCGTTTCTTTTTAGAGTTTCAATTTCAAAGTTTTGTAGCATCTCCAGTTCACCTCTTCACCGTTGCACTTATCATGTAATATTGTAAGTATCTGTTTACTTGTGTGTTTTCTTAAGTAAACTGTGAACTCCTTTAGTGAGACTGTGTTAAGCCATTCTTGCATTTCTGTAAAGAACTACCAGAGACTTGGTAATTTATAAAGAAACGAGGTTTAATTGGCTTACAGTTCTGCAGACTTTATAGGCAACATGGTGCCAGCATCTGCTCAGCTCCAAGGGAAGCCTTGGGAAGCTTATAATCATGGCAGAAGGCAGCGGGGTAGCAGGCACATCATATGGTGAAATCAAGAGCAAGAGAGAGAGAGAGGAGAGGTAATGAGGGAAGGTGCCACACACTTACACAGCCAGATCTCAGAAGAACTTCCTCACTATCACGAGGACAGCACCAAGGGCATGGTGCTGAACTCTTCATGAGAAATCTACCCTCATGATCCAGTCACCTCCCACCAGGCCCCACCTCCAATACTGGAGATTACATTTCAACATGGGATTTGGGCGGGGACAAATATCCAAACTATACCAGGGACTGTGTTTTATGGACTGTGGAGCACTTAATGCAGTGTGCAACCCACAGTCGGTGCATAGTAGGTGCTTAGTGGGATCACAACACAGTTCACTTAATGCTTCATTCAATAAGCGCATATTGAACACCAACTCCTTGCTAGGCAGCATAATAATGGAGGAGAAAAAGCAACTCATCGTTTACCTGCCCTTATCTCTTACAATACTCAGTCTAACAACCCCAAGACAAGTTAATAGGTACTGTCTCCTTTTCTATCTGTGTTTCCTCATGGCATTAGAATTGTCATAGGTATCAAAATTCAGTTTGAGTGGCATAAAGGACAGAGCTATCAAATTAGAACAAGGAGATTAACTATTTGAGCTAGCTGGACCATGAATCTCTAAATTCTAGTCTCCACCTCTGCAGATTTAGGAACTAGCCATCTTTTTTTTTGTGGCTTCCAGCTTGGACATTCTGTATTATATAGAAAAAGTTGACATTATTGTGAGAGGAAGTTCTTGAGCAATTTCATACGTATCACCTGACTGAGGGTCTGAATGCTAAACACTAAACTATAGAGGGATTCTTACAATAGACTAGTACCCCAGCAAGAGCCCACAGGTTTTCTTCTTTTAATTGAAGGTATTTCACAATTTTCATGCAGTCATTTGTTTCACACCTGAGTGATTTAGAATAACTCTTTTTGGTATTCCCAAAATAGGAGCAAAAAGAGAAACAAACAAAAAATCCTCCTCTGCTTGTTCTATTGAACAATCTGCTCCTATTATACACCAGAAAGAATCAAAGACTATATTATTATTTAATTTTCAGACATAAATTTTATTATGCAGTTTTGCATAAGATGTCTATAACTTTTAGGGTAGACCAATCTAAACCAGACTCCAAGATCTTTCCTATCAGGTCTTCTGAGGTTGGCCTGGATTCCCTCTTTCATATCACCAGGCCCAGGTGGTTTGAGGTACTAGAAGGTTCTGGTCTGAGTTGGAAGAACATCTGCCTTGTATTACCCTGGCTTCAAAAGATATTCAAGGGGTCAGATGTCAGAGAAAAAGCATGAGTTATGAGGCCTGTGTGACAAACCTATAACTCTAAGAACTAAGATAGAGAACTAACGATAATCATGTTCTGAAAGTATGAGACAAGATTTGTGGGAGATAAAAATATGACCAGCTTAGGAAGTCTTAAAATAATTAGGACACTGGCATTTTTTATTCTACCCCCAACTTATCCCCCATAGAGCAGGTTCATCCATAAAAGTCTGTGATCCGTATTATAAATCACTTGTTTTTTATATATATCCCAATGCTTTTTTCAAGAAAATGGTTTGCTTTTTGGTTCGCAAATAATGTTAAACTTACAGAAAATGTGTAAAAAAAAAAAAAAGGTAGCACAAAAAGCAGTCAATACCCTTTACCCAGGCTAAGCTATTGTCAACATGTTACTATAATTGATTTATAACTTCTGTATACTTTCTGGACTTTCTGGACATTTATAGATAAATCATACAAATTATGGACCTTTAACCCTAATGATATCAATATAGTTTTCTAAGAATAAGAAGATTCTCTTAAATAATGACAATACAGTTATTAACTTCTATAAATTTAATAATGATAACAATATTCTTATTTACTTTCTATAGTCCCCTTTTTTCAAATGGTCCAAGGTCAGCTTTGATAGTGTTTTTTCCCCATCAATACAATTTTCAGTCTTGAGTTGGATATTACATTTAGCTATCACGCCTCCTTACCTCTCTTTCAATACCTTTCTTTTAATAGAGGGGAGGATACTCCCCTCTATTAAATAGAGTGATTCACTATTTGTTATTTATCTAATGTTTTCTCATGATTAGATTCAGGTTATGTGATGTTTTGTCCTTCTCAGGGTATCATGTCTAGAGGCGTGTAATGTCTAAATTCTCATTAGTCATATTAATTTTGACTACCTATTCAAGGTATTTTCCAGTTTCCCCCATCGTATGATTGCTGTTTTCTTCCTTTGCAACTAATAAATAGCTGGTGAGGACATTCCTTAGGATCATAAAAATACCCTGTTTATGATAATTTTCACCTAGATTTAGCATCCTTTGAGGATTCTTGCCTGATACAGTTTTTTTTTTCTCCCAGTGATGAGTGTAAAATGGTGATTTTGAAATGCTAGCACTTTATCCATATACATTAGTTGGCACTCAGCTTTCTACCGTAAGCAAAAGTCTTCCCTTTTCTTTTATGTGTCTACCATCTATCTTATTTTTGTATCTATCTATTTAAATGTATTTGAACTTAAGTGCCCTCTCCCTCTAGTCCATATTATATTATTCTTATATCAAAATGCTGACTTATTTTTGAAAAAGGAAAAAGCTTATTTTTTTTTTAAAAAAGAGCTAGTCAATTTGTAATCTAATTTATACATTAATTTGTTAATTAGCTCATTATTATGGTAATTAATGTGCAGTTTATGCCATGAAGTGACTTTGTGCTATAGATTGTGCTTTCAAGGAGCTCACATTCTAGGGAAATACATAAGTATTCTAGAAAATAATTTACCATCACCTTGTGTTTTTATTAAAGATCAATTAAAATACATGGCTTTTAGACTATTGTGTCTGACTTAATAGGAAAATATTGATATTTCTATATGGGTTGAAGATCGTATCCGTAATTTTCATAGATAAATAGAAACATTGCAATCAAACTCATCCTTCTCCACGATGACGAGGGAAAAAATGCTCACTGATGTCTTTCTGTATCTTTCTTAAACTATACAGTCATGCACTGTATAACAATGTTTTGGTCAACTATAAGCCACATGTATGATAGTAGTACCATAAGATTATAACACTGTATTTTTACTGTAACTTTTCTATGTCTAGATGCACAAATACTTACCACTGTGTTACAGTTGCCTACAATATTCAATACAGTAACATGCTGTAAATGTTTATAGCCTAGGAGCAATAGGCCAGACCATATAACCTATCTGTGTAGTAGGCTATACTATCTAAGTTTGTGTAAGTGCACTCTATGAGGTTTGCAACAATGATGAAATTCCCTAATGACACCTTGCTTAGACTATATCCCATCATTGTGCTATAGCCCATCGTTCTGAATACATGACTGTATTCAGAAAGAAGAAAGCTCCTAAATAAGATACATGGATGATAAAGCAGCTGCGTGTTAGTAGAATTTATCTTGATAATTTACACGATAGAAATTCTCTTTATGAAAGGGGTAAATGAGTTAAGAATCGGACACATACATTTTATAGACACTATTTCTAAAACGTTGAAACTGGGCATCTCTGCATTTTTATAGCTGTGACCTTGACTAGTGCTGCCTTCCCATCTTCCTGGTTATCTAATGGCTTAGAACATTGGCGTAGTAGTGTAGAGTTTTGGAATTTGGGATCAGAACTAACATAGACTGAGCAATTCTGAAATGCTAGACTTCACTATGATTTCTTCTGCAACTATGTGAGATAGACATTTGTACCTATTACAGAGATGAGGAATCCAAGGTTCAGAGAAAGAAGTGACTTGGCAAAGGTTACAGAATTAGTAATTGACTTTACCCAGGACAGACTCAGTTCCTGCAAGAACGCTGACTTTTCTTCACTACAGAGCTGTATGAGATTTGGTATATAAATCCATGGTAACTAGATATTAACTCTTTTGCACCTGTCTTGCCAAGACTCCAGGCATATCATCAGAGAAGAGCCTATAGATGAAGACTATCAAGGGCCACCTGTCCCAATTCCAGAGACAAGCCTAACCCAAGGCTTACACATCAGTGATCAGTGTGTATTGCACGTTATGCTTTCAAACTTCTTTCACATTCATCATTTAATTTGATCAGCAATGACTTTTATTAAAAAGAAAATTGTTTTATTAAATAGTTAACTTGATTTGCTTTCATTAAACTAATAGACAAGAGGAGAGCACAGAGGATAATATAAAACTCTACCAGGCTAAGGCCCTGGCTGGTTGACTCATTCTGTTGCTTTTGATCTACTACTTTTTGAGCTCCCCCAAAGCAATCATATTAAGCTGTGCTGTGTGTGATGCCTTGAGTCTCTCAGCTGCTGTAGCCAACCAGGTGCCGCCTGCCACTTGATAATTGGTCCACTGTCTGCACATGGGGCTTGACAGATCCAGCCTCATAATACGGTAGCACTTAATTTCAATGAAAAAACAAACTGGCAGCCAGTTTAGACATGCAAGGGCTGGTCTCTCTTTGGTAGCAGCTGCTTGATAGAGCCTGTCAGGAGGTAGATGGCATTGGCATTTGGGAGTGAAGTCACCTTCTGGAGAAGTGGCTGTGTTTTCTCCATATGAGGCCATGAAATACTGGCATGTAGAAATGGTTTACAGAAACTACTTTATCTTTATGCATATGATATTTGTGATATAGGAAACATTTATTTTACCTTCATTGGAAAAGGAAAATAAAGTAAAAGAAAAAAATAGAAAAATTAAAAGAGGGTGTGAATACTTTCTGTGGTTATGTTGTTATTTTGAATATGTTACTTACATACCAAATGCCATGAAATCTGTTTAAAAATGTTCATTTGACAGCCATTTGGTTTTAAGATGGTACATGTTATTAACAACAACAAAAAGCAGCAATGTCATAGCAGAAGTTTGGCTAAGTGTTCTAACCCGTACTCATTGATAAGTGGGTGCGCTGTAGTCCGGGCCTTAGGGGACAACACTCTTCAGAGGCTAGATTCAACCCTGAGGATCCAGAAACATGGTCAGTATATCCAGTGATAATTATGTTCATGAATATTTGAGTCACAGAAACCAAGTTTATTTCTTATAAAATAAATAATGTGGTTAACCGGCTATACATATATCCACACAGGGCTAAAACTGTAAAGTGTCCAGAATTCATACCAGCTAGTCAGAGCAATGACAGCTCCTCCAAATATTGCTTAAGATGCAACACCATTTTTTTATTTGATTTTTAAGTTTCCTTTTGGTAGTTCTTGGCAGAACACTTTCGTGACATTTCTTCCAATGGGGTACGGTGGTAGTCTATTACATCCACTGACTGTGGAGTCAGAAAATATCTAAATTCTAATTCCTATTCTGCCAGTTATTAGTTGTTTCACTCCAAGCAAGTAATTCCAACTACTTGAACTTTAGTTTCTGGAGGACTCGAATGGAAATAATATTTTAGGTATTTTCAAAGCTGTGCAGATAATGTATGTAAAACATCTACTACAGATCCTAGCACATAACAGGTATTCAATAAATGATGGCTATCCTTATCACCCCTATCATCATCATCATCTTAAAAGCTTTAGTCTAATTTTAGACATATCTTCGTTAGATTTTTAGATTCTACCTTCCTATTCTAATTTGGGAGACATTCTATCCCTTAAGGCAACTTCTGCTAATCTAAAGCATTATATATAGACTTTACAAACCTAACTCTCAGAGGGAAATGCATCACCTAGTTATAGGAAACCTTAATGTAATTAGACACACATATATCGGCCTATGTAAGGAGAGACAGAGAGAGAGATAGAAACAGAGTCTTATAATGGGAACTTATGCTGTTTATATTGACATTCCTTTATAGTAGATCAAATGTGACCAGAATCTAGGCATTCATTCACTTTGGAAAGAGTAGAATAACTGCTGTTTATGTACACTCCTACCTGCTATACATGCTACCTCATTTTAATCTTCACAATAGCCCTAAAAGATTATTTCAGTCTTACAAATGTAAAAATGAGAATAAGCAAAGTTAATTAAATCTGTAACTTCATACAATTAGAGTATATTAAAACTGGGATTCAAACCCTAGAAAAGTTGCATTGTAATGCTTATTCTGTTGATGATCTCTTCGAAAACACAACCATGAAGCTTCGAGGTGCATAGTTAATAAAGGGTCCTCATTTTTAACAATAGAGTCCAAAGAGGCTTCATTTCAGTTTGATATCAAGATATGTTGAAACGTTGCATAAGTTCCCATGTCACCTCTGTGAAATAGAATACTATTTGTCTGTATTATGGATTTGGATCTGAGGGCCAGCTCCACAACCCTTACAATGTAAGCTCTACTGAGAGATTGGCGAAACTAATAGCCTTGAAAATGTTCATTATATTACTAACCAACTAGTGGCAACAACGAAACAGGAAATACAATTCTTGTCAAATAACCATTGAATATGACTTTGTTGTAAAAGAATTGATGTTTCCGTTAACATAATGACAACTCATCCTATGCTTTATATCAACTGTTCTTTATAACGAAGAGCCAGAATTGCAGTGTATCTCTTTATTTGTTTGTTCCCTGACAAACCAGTAATATTTTACAAGTAGGAATTTTCTTTTCAGATCTTAAAATGAAAGACGATTTTATGAATATAGCACCATTTTAATAATAACTCTAGACTCTTAAGTGAATAGTTTACTTTCCCAAATAGAACAGTTTATACTTATTAAATGTGTGATCTAAAGAAAACATGGCATTTCCCTCTGAGACAATTAAAAATGCTATTTCTATGGTCATACCCAAGTATAAGCATATCTAGACCAATGACATATAAAATCACTTAATGTTTTTGATGTGCAAGGCACTGTCCTAGGGACTGCAGATTCAAAATATGAATAAAAGATTGTGTCTGATATTAAATAAATCATACTGCAGTGGGAATAAAAATTAATTACAGTATAATATAGTAATTGATATGCCAAAGATAGCTTAAGCTATAGTGAAATATATAGAGGAAATCATGAGTTTGGAATTAGATATTTTGGTGTGAGTTCTTTTGAAATAACCAAGTGTATTAAAAAAAACGGCCGTTGACTATAAAACACAGGAATAAGCAATACTTTCATTAAGACATTTTGGGGAGTGTTATTTATATCAAATTGAGAAGGTTTTTAGAAAGAAATAGTTTAATTGGAGTAGCATCTAGTATTTGTTGAACACTTACTGTCCGTTAAGGACTGTGCCAAGTGCTTATTGCACATGATATTAAGTCATTGTAGCAGCCCTGTGGAGGGAGTGTTTTTGCTGTTTGGGTACAGGAATATTAATGTTTCATAGCAAATAAATAGAGAAGCTGAGATTTCAACACATACCTGCCTGAATTTGAAGTCTGGCCTTTAAACAAGGTGTGCCAATGCACAACTTCAGATAGAGGTAATGGTTCTGGATGGGAGGTTTGGAGGCTAAGAACAGGTTCGCTAAATTAGGGCTTCATGTGACTGCTTAGGATTCCTGCAAACATTGACTTTGAAGCAGCATCATCACATCATATTCAAACTTTGCAACTTGCTTACTGTGTGACCTTGCCTACCTTATTCATTGTCTCTGAGCATCATGGTTTTATCTATAAAAGAATGATAATGGCTGGGCACAGTGGCTCACACCTATAATCTCAGCACTTTGGGAGGCTGAGGCGGATGGATCATTTGAGGTCAGGAGTTCAAGACCAGCCTGGCCAAAATGGTGAAACCCCATCTCTACTAAAAATACAAAAATTAGCCAGGCATGGTGGTGTGCACCTGTAATCCCAGCTACTTGGGAGGGTGAGGCAGGAGAATTGCTTGATCCTGGGAGGCGGAGGTTGCAGTCAGCCAAGATCGCACCACTGCACTCCAGCCTGGATGATAGAGTGAGACTGTGTCTCAGGAAAAAAAAAAAAAAGAAGAAGAATGATAACAGCATACACTTTATAAGAACACTGGGTGGTTTAAAGTAAAATGTGTATCAAAGCACCTATCCTGAGCTTGGTACATAGAGTTGATCTGTAGATGTTTGCTTCTTTCTAAGTGCCGTTTCCTGAAGATAATTCAGAAAAAGAGCTCTCTGCCTACTTCAGTGACTATGCCAAGGGTTTTAGAGCAGAGCATCTCAAATTCAGGAATCCCTTGAGAATTTTGTTAAATGCAAATTCCAATTCAATAGGTTTTGGATGGGGCCTGAGACTTTGCTTGTCTAATGAGATCCCAGGAGATAGTTATGCTGGTCTTCTATGACCACATTTTCATCAACAAGGTTTGTATTGTTTATCTTTTGTGCTGTTATTAAGTACCTCCAGTTCCAAGTCAATTTCTTCCTCCTTGCTTTTATACCAAACAAAAAACAGCTGTTTTCAGAATCACAGGTGGTGGTGATATTGGACACCTTCCCAACACACTGAATGCTTATTATTTAAAAAAAAAAATTGAACAGGAGAAAAAACCTATATAAACAATTACAGTTACACTAGTGAGCATGCCTCTACTGCTTTAGAGTTTACAGTGTGCAATCCCAGAATATTATAGCAGATATTCTTTGAAAGTCTACTATGTCTAAGGCAGTGAGGGAACAGAATCTCATGATGCTCATAAATTTGCAGGACAGAAGAACAGGAAATTTAGTGACAACGGGATTATTTAATAGCATCTATAGTAGTCGTATAGTCAAAATCATACTACTAATCAATTAGTAGGCTTATTAATCAATGATTAGGCTACTAATCAATTGACCTTTAGTTCACGGAAAGGGAGATTACTTCATTAAATCAACCAAATCTAATCACATTATTCTTTAAAAGCACAGAATTGTCTTTAACTGGTAGCAGAAGAGGAAATCAGAGAGATCCAAAGAATGAAAAATACTTGCTATTGTGGGTTTGAAGGTGAAGAGAGCCATGTGAGAAAGCAGCCATTCACAGTATCTTTTAAAAGATTGTATTGATATGACTCAGCTCAGGATTGAGGCACTCTACCAGGAGAGGATAGATAATATGCTATCTACCTATACTGTGCCTAATAAATCTTACAGCATCATCACTCCCTTCATCCTGTCAGTATCATTATTTAACAAAGATCTATAGTGGAAGTATGTTCAAAATCATACAGTAACATAGAGGTGGACATTTGTGTCTCCTGCAGAGGTAAGAATGAGGTGAGGGAAGACTTTCCAGAGGATATTATATCCTCCCAAGCATAACCATCATGATTATCTTTGTCATTGTCATGCATTGTCACCATCCTTACAATCATCAAATAGCATTATTTGACAACTTACTGCTTACCAGGTACTGTGCCAGGCAATGATATGCGTGATCCCAAACAATTCCCATAACCTCATCATGACTTTAGTACTGTTATTATCCCCATTCTATAGACAAGAAAATGATGCTTACCAAAGTAAAAGAGTTTGCTTAGTGTTAAACAGCAGGTCCTTAATTCAAACCCAGCACTTACCAAACAGCCTATGATCTTAATCATGATGCCACTACTACCTCATTTCATTTGATTCAAGATAATTGATCATAACAAGTTTTATAGATATGGCTGGAATGTTGTTTCCATTTTACAATTGAAGACCCTGAGGTTGATATACATTATTTTCCCAAGTAATTGTGTAAAATGTGAGAGCCATACTCAAAGGTTTCTAACTTCAAGTTTTACATTTTTCTATCACATTTTGTAGATCCTCAAATAAAAGTAAGATAGGCAAGTTATGAAGTCCATATACACATGCATTTATATTTGACATATGCATGCCAGAGAAACAGATCCCTTCATTTCACAGCCCACAGGTCTATAAATATTATTCTGCTCATTTCAAGTCTTTGAGTTAGTAATAGCATGGTCTGATTTTTATCTTTGGTTCCATTTTCCCTTTGAGCTTTATTTTTATTTCTCCTGCTTTTCTTGATTTTGGGGAAAGATTTTTTAACATTATTAACTCTACAGCTTTTACTCACCCTTTGAAGAGGTCCTACTGAGTAATGATCTTCTTTCACCTTCTGAATGCTGGAGAAGAAATTTTTATAAATATTATTGGCTGGAAGGGATGTTTATCTTTAGCTCAGGAAAGCATTATCACCTGTACCTCTTAGTTCTTTTAACTTTCTTTCCTCACTCTTTCTACTTCTTTGCATTGTCTTTCTTCTCACCTTTTCCTGTCTCTTTTTTTTTCTTTCCTCCTCACCATCGTCCCTTCTTTCTCCCTGACCTCTCTTCCTCTCTTGAATTTAGCAGGTAAACAGTGTATTCTCATTTAAAATTTCACAGTTGGTTTTCTGCATTTCTAAATAGTGTTGTGTAATGAACTGGGCTTTGCAGTCCAAACATAACCAGCTAATATTTTATCTTTACCTTTTGTTGACTTTGTAATCCTAGGCAAATTGAAGTCTCTTAGACTTAATTTGCCCTTTTAAAAAATGGAGGTAATAATACCTTTTCCATAATACAGATACAAATCTAATATTGCCTGAGAGAAGGTACATAATGGAAAACTCTCTTCCAGTTAAAGAAAATATTTTAAAACTGGGGCCAGGCATGGTGTTAGGCATTCCTTTTTGTGTTTGTCTCCATGAATTGGTATGGCTCAATCTTGCATTAGATTGTAAAATTCCTATTGGCAGAGACTGCTTCTCAGTCATATTTTGTCCCAGTTGCCCAACACAATATGTGATAGATGCTCAGTAAGTAGGATGTTTGTTAAATGGAGCCAAAAGTGAGGCCAGATCAAGCCGAGGATGCAGACTTTACCATCAGACAGCCTGGGTGCTCTCGTTTCACTTTCACCCCCAGAGCAGCCTCTGCTACAAGGAAAGCATCCAGGTTGGTCCCTCTGCTGGTGAGAGATTGTTGGCAGCATTTCCCTCTAAATTGGAGAGTAGAAGAAAAGACTGCTCGACCAGCTGTCATCAACAACTTAGAAAACTTAAATGTTTAGGCAATTATAAGTTTCCCTTGGTGTTCTCTAATGTTCTTTTCAAAGATACTATTTTTTTAATCAACTGCACAAAAGCCTCACAAAAATAGCACAGTGCTGTACTCCAGCCCACAAAGATGCAGAAGAACATGGTTATGCATTTCCACTCTGGAAACTTCTACATTGCTTTTGAGGCACTGCTGCCCACTCCTGACATGCTGATGCACCCAGGGTCTCTGCCCTGTGTTCCCAGAGTCTTGCTGACTCTACATTCTCTCCTTGAGCAAACAACAGTCATTCCATCTGACACCTCACAAAACTCTACACTTCTGATCTGGCTGTCCAAATTTACCCTACCTACTCATCACCTTTTAAATATTTTACAAATGTCTGACAGGCGCCTGAGTTCATCACAGGAATAAAGTTTATATTACCCATCTAAGCTCGTTCTCTTTCTGTATTTCCTACCTTAGAGAGTAGCGTAAGCAGCCACTTAATTCTCACAACAGTCATATGAGAAGATATTATTATCTTTGTTTTGCTCAGTAGAAACCTAAAACTTGAAGACATCAGTTAGATGTAAAGCAAAAGAGCCTGCCTTCAATCCCAGATCATCCTACTCCAAAACTGTGTCTCTTCCAGTAAGCTTTACTAGAAAGGGAAGAACAGAGAAGTAGAAGGAAAAAAAATTTGTTCATCAGTGGAGCAATTAAGATCCCCTAGCTATTGCTTCTAGTATCACTCAAATGAACCTATGTCTTTTCCTGGATCACCCACCCTGCTAAATAAATAGCATAAATTTAATGATATAATGAGATTGAAAATAATTGAAGTTATTTTATTTTATTCAATCACATTACATACCTTTTGAGATTACATCTGCAAGTACTCTCTGCTTCAGCCATTGCTGAAACAATTCCTTATTAATAGAAAATAATTTCATACTTCTAGCATGGTATAATCAAAACTAATAGAAAGAGGAAGTGACAAATTGACCTTGTACTCAAATAAGTACTAATTTGAGAACTTCCTATGAGCAAAACACCATTCTTGCCTTACATGCAAGGCATAGATAAAATAGCAAAGAGATTTCAATATTATTTATAAAGATAAGGCATTTTAAAAGTACATTGAACTGCTATTATCCTCTTTTTGTCATTGTCTAGATCATGAATGATGTTAAGGTTAGATGATATAGAGTCAGCCCAACATGGTACACTTAAAGGGAAGGGGGAAAATGTTAGGAGGATTTATAGGGCTTTGTTTGTGTTGCTAAGGGGTTTGTCAACTGTAAGAGACTATCTTGCCTTTTTGAGGTGGTGATTAATTTTTTGAAGACTTCTCTATTATCTAGGATTGCTATAATATTCATTATTTAAACTATTAAGTATACCTATCTTCATAAACTTTGTATTGAGAGTCTGATGGAAATAATTATTCAAAAATCCAAATTGACTTTATGTAATGCAGAAAGTAATGGGCAATATTTGCTCTGCATAATCTGCCATAGGCAAAAAGGTGCCTAGTAAAGGGAGAGGAGCTGCAAGACACTCAGATGGTTCTTCCTACAGACAAAACCATGAACGAGATCTCCATTGCCAGAAAGTTTTCTGCAGCTTTGAAGGTTCAAAAACATAGATCAATGGAAAATGTATGGGATTGAAAATCAGGTAGATCAGGGTTTGGACTTCATTCTGTACCCCTTTCTAATTAGTTACTTTGGGCAAGTATAATCATCTTTATGCTTAAGTTTCTACATTTTAAAAATAACATAAAACTTTATCAGTGACAGAGTTGTTGATGTTTAAATACTTGTTGTTGCTATTGTTAAGACCTTACCAAGTTCAGTGCTTCATACATGGAAGAAACTTAAGAAACTTAATATGTGGAAGAAACATAACTATAGCTCTTATGTTGCTATTTGTCTGTCAAATTCACACTGGCCAAGCTTGAGAGATTACTATATAAAGCAGTCAAGGTATTAAATAGGGGCATATCCCAATCATGTAAACAAAATTTATTGTCTTTTATGCAAAATGTTTTCCTCCCCAATGTAGAGATATAAGCCAGGTTAGCAAACATATATAAATTATTAAGCATTAAAACAAAGCAAGACAGACATTGAAGTCCAGTTCCTAGGTATTTACTCAGGAGAAATGAAAATATGTGTCCACACAAAGACTTGTGCTCAAATTTTCATGACAGATGTATTCACATTAGCCAAGCCAAAAAATACAAATGTCTATGAACTGAGGCATAGAATTTATAAATAAATTTGGTATATCTATACAATAGAATAATATTCATTGAAAAGAAACTAACTATTGATATACACAAAGCATGGCTATAACTCAAAACATCACGCTAAATGAAAGAGACCACACATAAAACTTTATGATTTCGTTTATATGAAGTTCCAGAAAAGGAAAAGCTGCATTGACAGAAATGATGCCAATGGTTATCAGGGCCAGGGGTGGAATGGGAATATATTGACTGCAGAGAAACATAAGGGAAGGTTTGGGGTATTGGAAATACATATTAATATTCTCTATTATGACTACCATTACAGTACTATCTACACTTGTTAACATTTATCAAATTGGACACTTAAATCATTGAATGTTGTTGTTTATAAAGCTTATCTTAATAAAGTTAATGTAAAAAAAAAGAATAAAAATTTTAAGTGACTTTTTAAAGTCAAGCTCAAAGGTATTTTATTTCCTATTTTTCTAGTGACCAGATTGTTCTAATATGAGCAGATGTGGCCAAAACACAGAATCTCTCTGACATCATATCTCATGCCAGACTGGCCTTCTAGTGCCTACACATTATTGCCCTAATTTGACTGATGAGGAAACTAAAACTTGATGAGGCTATGTAGCTGAAATGTAGAAGAGCTGGCTGGACTGCAATCCCAGTTCCTCTCACTCCAAAACCTGTCTCTTCCAATAAACTCTACCAGAGAAGAAAGGACAGGAAGAAAAAGATGAAAAGTGCTATAACAAGAAATACACACACACACACACACACACACACGCACACACATACACACACGTGGAATGCTGTAGGGATAACTTACAAAACCCTATTTGACCCCTAATATATTCCTTCTGTAACATTAGCTGATCTACAAGTAGAATTTCTTTTGCCTAAGTTGGTAATTAATGATGTTGGCAAACCCTTTCTCCTGTTTTTCCCAGAAACACAGCCAAGCTACATTTCCCAATGTCCCTTATGGTTATATTGGTCATATGACTGAATTATAGCTAATCAGAAGTGATACATACAACTTATAGGCATGAACATAAAACCCTTCCACATGTTCCTCTGTGAGTTTTGCTCCTTTCAACTTGGGAAAAGAGATGATCTCAAGGGTAACCTCGGGGACCACAAACTCAAGATGCCAGAGCTGTCATAGTCTTGGTTCAAGACTGGCTGTGTGGAGAAGAGCTTCTCCCTGCAAAACAAAACTCACACAAACACTACCACCAACTAATTCCTGTCAAACTAGGGCCTGTCATTAATATGAGCAATAAACAAACTTCTATTGTGTTGAGCTAACCACATTTAATTAGATCTATTTGTCACCATAATCTAGCCTACCCTGACTAATATAAATAGGTTAGAGGCAGTCTGCGTCCTAGTATTAACAGAAGAAAACCTTAAGCAAGTTAAGTTTGATAAAATTTAATGGATCAGGGAACAATTCACAAACCAGGCAGCCCTCAGAACCTAAACAGGTTCAGAGAACTCTGGTCTGCAACGTGGTCAGACAATATTTATGGATAGGAAATGGAAATGAGGTACAGAAAATGAAAGTGAGGTACAGAGATAGCTCGATTGATTATATTTCAGCGTTTGCCTTATTGGAACATAGTTTGAACAGTTGGCCGCCTGCAATTGACTGAAGTTCAACTGCTGTGGTTGGCTGACCCTCAGCTGTTTGTTATAAAAGTATGCTCCTAATTTAGGCTTTCAGTTTATGCACTAAGTTAGGTTTCAGTTTGTTATGTCAGGACTAGAGTATGGAGCATCCTCAGGCCAAATTTAGTTTGATATAACACTAGCATCATAGCAGGCTGAGTCTTTTAATTAAGCCCTTGCCAAATCTTGGATTGTATTATTTCAGTTTCAAATTATGGCCCACTCTGAACATTCCATTCATAGTGAAGGAGATAGTTTGCCCTAAATCCTAGAAGTATCTGGATTTTGGCACTCATCCATGTAGAATTAGCAGCCCCTGACCCAGGATTGTCTTACTAATTTTGTGCAAATAAATTATTTCAAGGAAGAGTAGAAGAACCCTGATAAAGACTTATTCTTAAATTAAGTCTGTTAACGCTCTATCTCCTAGAAAATCAAGTCAATTCAACGTTCTTAAATGTGACTGCCTCTAGTAGCAGGCCTCTTCCTCAAAAGGAGCATATGTAATATGAGAGGATTGGACTGCAGAGGGACACTAAGCTCCTCTGAGACAATGCTCACATCACCCAGATTCAATTTTTCTTTCCTTAGACACTGTCCAGATACGCATTGCAAACATTGGTTTTCCTCTCTCTGCATTTTTCTCAGCTGCTGTTGCTGACAACCTATTTTCTCTTAACATATTTTTCTTCTTTAGCTCAGCTGATATCAATGAGTCAAGTCTTGTTCTGGCTTGGGAACTATTCATTCTCTTTGAAGAGACTCTTCATATTTCTAAACCCATCCATTATATGTTGATTGTATCAGTCACACATTCTGTGTTCTCTGGAGACATTCAGACATTATTCAGCCAATGATTCATGCCAGCTCACCAGTATATAGATTAAAACATGTATACACACAACAAGAACTTAAAAAACAAAAGCCTCACCTGATTCAGTCTGTGTTACAGAAGTAATCAGCAAATGATTTGCTTATGTTTTCCTTTTGTTAGATAGTGTAATATAAAAGAAAAAGCCAGTTAGATCTAGGTTCAAAGACTTGCACAAAACCTACTGGGGATGTGCTACTTGAATCAATTTGTTTGGACTCTCTTACCTATAAAATAAGAAAATTAAAACCATATGTTTTGGGTAATTATTAAATGTGCTAATTTCCTCTTTTCTCAGTTCAACAGAGGATAGGCCACATTGAGTTTCCCATCCCTGTGAGTACATTACATTCTGTACTCTAGGTATTAGGTTGGTGCAAAAGTAAAAGCAGTTTTTGCCAAACTTATATTCATTTGTAAGGCATTTCTAGATGGTTCTTAAGTATCAGATAAAATCTCTGATGAAATGACCTATTAAAATCCCTTACAAATTTGAGAGCCTGATGGGCTTTTGATAAATTTCACAGAAGTAGGCCAAGTATGAGAGCAACCTGCAATGTTGATCTTGCTAGAGTTTTCAGATTGTGGGTGACATTGAAATGACATGCCTATAACTAAAGAGCCAATGGGCGAGGGCCATGATTCATCATGGCCTGTCAAATCCACAGTGCAAACAAAACTAATTCTTTTCTTTTCTTTTCTTTTCTTTTGAGATGGAGTCTCGCTCTGTCGCCCAGGCTGGAGTGCAGTGGCGCAATCTCGGCTCCCTGCAAGCTCCGCCTCCCGGGTTCACGCCATTCTCCTGCCTCAGTCTCCCGAGTAGCTGGGACTACAGGCGCCCGCCACCACGCCTGGCTAATTTTTTGTATTTTTAGAAGAGACGGGAGTCTCACCATATTCACCAGGATGGTCTTGATCTCCTGACCTCGTGATCCGCCCACCTCGGCCTCCCAAAGTGCTGGGATTACAGGCTTGAGCCACCGTGGTTGCTGCATTTAACATTGGAATACTGGAACCCTCCTTACAGAATTAAAGGCTTTCTGTGGAAGAGGGAGTCATTGAGACTATATTAATTCAATCTTACAACAAGCTGTAATTTTAATTCCCATTGAAGAACGTGTTTTACAGAATATCTGATAATAAATCATACTAAGTACACAGAAAGCTTTCTAATCCTGGAAGTATATAAATAGGACCTGGATGACAGTTTCTTAGGGTAAAAATGGAGACGTCACGGTTAAAAGATAGGACATCACCTTGTGGCAAGGCTGTTCTAAAACTAATTGTGTGACCTTGTGAAAGTCACTTAACCACATTGACTTTTAGTTTTATTATCAATAAGTCACATTCATAATCCTTACCACAGAAGATTGTTATAAGGAATAGAAATATCTATAAGGTACCTAGGCAATTTGTGTAATATAGCAGGCAGTAAAATATGGTGGCAGTAGTTATTATTAAAAAAATATTTCGGCCGGGCGTGGTGGCTCACGCCTGTAATCCCAGCACTTTGGGAGGCCGAGGTGGGCGGATCATGAGGTCAGAAGATTGAGACCATCCTGGCCAACATAGTGAAACCCCGTCTCTACTAAAAATACAAAAATTAGCTGGGCGCGGTGGTGCGTGCCTGTAATCCCAGCTACTCGGGGGCTGAGGCAGGAGAATCGCTTGAACCCAGGAGGCGGAGGTTGCAGTGAGCCGAGATCATGCCACTGCACTCCAGCCTGGAGACAGAGCGAGACTGTGTCTCAAAACAAAACAAAACAAAATTCCTGCACCGAGGTGTGTCTTCAGAAAATCACTACCTCTGAGATCCTCTTGATTGAAATGATGGTAATGTCATCTGCTCTGTGGTGTTTTCGTGTGCATCAAAAAGACAACACAAATGCAATTGCTTTGCAAACAACTGTAAACATTCTGTAAACCTAAACAAGTTTTGCATTATACGTGTCATTATTATTATCATTATTGTTGCTTTCAATTCTAAATTTGTAATTTTGGATAAAAAAACGAAGGAATCACTGATTCACATGGGAAATGATTATTTCCTCCAAGATTAGAGTCTCCTTTCATTAAAAAAGCAAACAAAATATTGAGCCAAATCGTAAACCAGCCAAAAATCTTGGCGACATCTCTCACTGCAGTTTTCAAGGAGTAATCTATACTCTAATCTTCATGAGCAGGTTAGGTCACTTCTGCTCACCTGCTGAAAAGTCTCCACTTAATAACCCCATCATATTTCACTTGTGATACTTATCGAATCAGTCTAAATATCTTTCCCCTCCTCCTTTAACATCAATGCTTAGCAAATACATATAATAGCCCTTAACCAGTGTAGCTATTCTGGTATTTTAGTCTTTGGCAGTTTATGTTTTTTTCAATTAACATGTGTTTGTAACTTCCCTAATGTCTTATTTCCTGCTTAACAGAATCTTTGTTTCCTTATTTAGAGATGATTTTCAATATTCTTCATGCAGTTTCATTGAAGCCTTAGGGGATGCTATCATGAATATATTAGCAGTAAAGCAGTTTTATTTCCTATGGCGTCAAATGTATACTCTATTCCCCAACATTTTAAAAAGTGAATATTATAAAGCAGAACAATAAGAAAAGTCAATTGATTTTTGTAAGACTCAATCTTAATACATGGGCCCTAATGTATTAATTAACATGAGAGCAACTTATCAAATGAGGGTTAAAAAGAGAAATTTTAAATACCCTTGCCCAGTCTGTGGAGTCCTAATTCAATTAATTGCTCTGCAGATTTTAACCGACCAGTAGTCATCTTTGACATTTTTGAGCCCACAAGCTATAAACAAATTTAAAAAACCCAAAAAGCTATATGAAAAATTAAAAAACAAAAACAAGAAGAACAGTCCCTTGAGGTTAATATTCATTTAGGATATTGTGAAATATGAAGTGTTCTCAACTGAGAATTCACTTCTCTGTAAAAAAACAAAACAAAACATAACAAAAAAACAAAGAAGAAAGAGGCAAGCTCTCCAGAGAAACAGGTTAAACCAAGGCTGAGTTGAAATCTTCCTTTTTCTCCAAAAGAAGGGTCTCATTGATGACCTCCTCATGGCTTGTGTGTCCCTTCATTACTAGAAGCCTAAGATGTGAAGGGTAAATATTCCCTCAGGCAAGGAATGGAAACAGAACAGAAAGCCATAGACACTTGCCATTGTCTCTCTACACAAACTGTTTTGTTAAGCATACCTTACTCTGTCAAGCAGGGGTGTCCAATTGTTTGGCTTCTCTGGACCACACCAGAAGAATAAGAATTGCCTTGGGCCACACATAAAATACACTAACACTAATGATAGCTGATGAGCTTAAAAAAATTGCAAAATAAAATCTCATAATGTTTTAAGAAAGTTTATGAATTTTTGTTGGGCTGCATTCAAAGCTGTCCTGGGCCATAAGTGGCCATGTGCCACAGGTTGGACAAGCTTGCTGTAGGGCTTTTCTGCCTCATTGTCTAGAATAATGCATGACTGCAGCCTGTCAGTTTACCATCACCCATCCCTCCACCCATTCTGTCATCATGTATTCACTGAGAATCTACTGTTTGACAGGCACTGTAGGTAATGGGGATATAGAGATCCAGAAAGGATAGTACCTGTTTTAAAGGGTATACTTTGAGATATCTCAAGGGTAACATTTTTTTTGCATATGCTCTTACAGAGACCAAACAACAAATATGTGGTTAGGCGTACTATGTTGTAAAAAATGTAAGAGTGGGTAACAAGAGAAGTGGCTGAACATGTGTATATAGAATTAATTATAAGATGCTTGGGCCAGACCTAGTCAAGCAGGTTTTCATATGGCTCAGTTTTGCAAATATTTTGACATACCAATTGTTTAAAGGAAGCTAAATACACAACATTTCCAAGCTTACTGAACAATGGGAATTTAGTTTGTTTTAAGTTTACTTTTGTTTATCATGGAGCAGTGACGAGGAATTATTTGGAAATTAAATTGCAGATGATAGGAAGCCATTGGGTGATTAGAAACTAGGGTAGATCATGCACAGATTTAAATTTTAGCAAAATACTCTTACTTCAATGGCAGAATAATTGTTATAAATAAGAGCAGTTAGAGAGGAGAGTAGTTAAAGTATCTAAACATCAGTCCAAACAAAGAACAAGAAAATTCTGCACTAAGGTAGTGATAGTTGAAAGAAAAGAGAATACATAGAGTGTTTATTGATTTTCAGAACTTCTGGTAAGGTTGAACTATATAGGAACTAAGAGGACCAGAAAGAAAATAGAGGAAAACAATAATGTGTGCACTTGGACACATTAAATTTGATGAGCCTTGGGTATGAATGTTCAGCAGGACATACTGGCATTCTGAAGAGGTGTAGGTAGAAGTGAAAATGATGGTAGTAGATGTTATTTTCTGGACTTAGAAAGGCAAGAGCCTAAACTACTTTGTGATTTTTGCAGAGTATTTAGGACTCTGATTAAGGAGTCTACCTGTTATACATTGGGCATTTATGACATAGTGTCTCTAGCTGTTCCCTTGTACAGGTGCTTTATCAAACTCACCTCCCATTCCACATGTGCAAGAGGGGAAAAAGAGCTCATACATCACTTAACCATTCACTCCAAAAAGCAGAATAAAAGGCTAGGTGCAATGCAAAAATCATTTTATAAGGTATAAAGCATACTATCTCCATATGTTCATGTTCTACTAAAGTTTTTCTTATAAGACGATCTTGAAAACTTTTTCTACATAGAGTAGGCCCTCTGTATTCACAGATTCCATATCTGTGGGTTTAATGAACCATGGATCAAAAATATTTAGAAAATTTGCCTCTGTACTGAACATGTATGATTACATCCTGTTAAGTATTATAGGTAACCTAGAGATGATTTACAGTATAGGGGAAGATGTACATAGGTTATATGCAAATACTCTGCCATTTTATATCAAGGACATGGAACATCTGTGGATTTGAGTGTTCACGGGAGATCCTGAACCCAACTGCCCACTAATACAGAGAAACAAATGTACTATAAAGTCTAGGGAAGAAACAAGAACAAGAAAAATGTTTCTACAGGCAAAGGATCCTTGGAGACCTTTTTTTCAGTGACATATGAAACTTGTTTTATAAACATCATATTTTGCTATGAATTCAGATTTCAAACAAGTGTTTTATGTTAACTAAAAAGATAAATTTTTCCTTAAAGTTTCGCCTGGCAAATGAGTTAAGTAAAACCGAGCATCAGAACGTAACAGGAATATTTGACTTTTAATTTATCTTCCTTGCTTTTATTTTTCAGTGAATGCCTCCAACTGCAATTTATGGTGGTGATGAAGGAAGAGGTGAGGATATGATTTCTAGCACAGGGGCAAGTTGGATTTGTAGAAATAGGAGCTCCAAGCTGCCAATATATTTTTGCAGTAGTGGAATGAGGTCTATTTATATTTTAGTGTTGCTACCAACTATCGGTATGACGATAGTAGAGTTCCCTCATTTCTCTAACTCTTACTCCCATTATCTGTAAAATATTAGACTACAAAGGCCCCTTCAGCTTTATGCTCATATAATTTAAACACAGCATATTTTCTTTAAGGCTTCTATAAGTATCCCTGAAAGTTGGTTTAGAAAGAAATGTGATCATACTTAAAGGGAACATACTTAAATGTGAACATACTTAAAGGGAAGAAATCTTTCTAATTCCTAACATTTCTCATTCAGAACACAAGACCCTACTGTACTTGCATCTATGGACCGCACCTTTTGTCTTAATAGTATTAATCTGAAGTAGTACTGACATTCAAAATATCCATCCCAGCAGAGCCATTTGCATTTTTTCTTAAACTTCCATTAGCATATTTCTGGTTATTATGATCGTTGAATTGTACCTTTCTAAAGCTGGAGTATAGACATTATTGCCAAGTTCCTACCTCAGTTTGTTTCACCTCCATCATTAATTATAATTCTAATTAAATCAAAACAAACTGACTTACTATATAAATTTTAATTCTTATCTGAACATTTTCTTGGTTAAGTCTTTGATAGCATCAGAAACATACTGTGACATTAAAAATTACTGCAGACCCCTTCTAATAGTTCCCTTTTTTGTTGTCTGTCCTCTATTGACTGCATACTGTATTATTTATGGCAAAAGGAAGGCTCACAGTGGAATTCTTGATTGTACTGTACCAATGTATAAGGTCAGTTGAACATCTGAATGTTTCTAAAATCCTTTGAAATTATGTCTGCCACATCAAAGGAATGTTGCTTGAGAAAAATGATAGTACCTATCAATAAGCACCAACATTCAGTCCCCTTTTAAAGATTTTACTTTAAATTTTCTAAGCAAAATTTGGTCTGCTTTTATAATACCAGAAAATAATCGCTGAGTCAGAAGAGCAGGTGGAGCAGGAAAACACTCTGGTTGTGGGGTGGGGGTAAGAAAATATCTAATAAGGTATGATTGGCATTATTACGGAAAAGGGGTAAAAGTTGGAGAATTGTGGGGGTGGATGTTGAGAGAAATGACCATTCTCTTTTCCCAAGAACTTTGGCCAACTGGGTAATAAATGAATCACAGCTGGTGGCTGGAAGGAATGTTCTCATATGTATTTTACTGAGAGAGTTCTGTTTATCTGAAAGAGCATATATTATTGAAAACGTTATTTTTATACCATCTACAGCCCCTACACACATACATCAAAGCTAAGAGGGAAAAAAAGGAGTTAGTCTTAATCTTCAGAAAAGACAGACAAAATAAGAAACAAAATTAAGTTGAAAAAATAACTGTCTCTCAGATGACAATACTTTCCTGTTTTCTCAAATGCATTTTTATTTGGGGTTAGTGCAATTAATTCATGCCCTTTGGTCTGAAAATACTCCCACACAAACTGAATTCCTGAGTGACGCAGAACTGTATCAAGTATTTAGTCTAAATTCATTCACTACTTAAATATCATCTAGCAATAGGTGTTGTAGACATGTTAATGGGTATTGGACCCATTATAGATTTTGTAAGCAAGTCTTATTCTGAGTTTAATTCCATTTTATTACCTAACTTTCTGTGATTCATGTATTTCTTGATCTTAATTGGTTGTGAGTTGTTTGAGGAAGGGGTCTTTTCCTTCACTGGTCCTGTGTCTCCAAGATTAACCAGTGTCTGGCACCTGGGGTGGACCTAATAAGTGTCAGTGGTATTCATGCACACTAAGAATATGGTACACATCATCTGTATTTTTACCTCTTTCTGTCGTACATAGAAGTAATTTATTTTCCTGGTATTGGTGACCAAGAATCTGTAAGCTACAAAAATTTTCCCTCAAGAAAGTGAAAGGAAGAAAAAAATGCTGAGCACTTACTGTCTGTTAGATTATGCCAGGGGTTATCAAATCTATTTTTATATTTAAATTATCGCAGCAACCTTGGCAGGGAGGTATTATCACTCTAGTTAACAAATGAGGAAAAATGAATTCTCAGAAAGATGGATTAGCTTACCCTTGACCTTTAAATTCTTAAGTGGCAGAATCAAGATATATGTCACATGCAGTTTTCAGACTATGTGGCAACATAGCCATAGAAACCATCATGAGTGTGTGAGTGTGTGTGTGTGAGAGAGAGAGAGTGTGTGTGTATATATGTGGTGTGTCTAGAGACAGAGAAAGAGATAGAGTTAGAGAGAGCAGCTATCCTTTATGAAGGTCCTTGAAGTGATTTTGTTCCACTAATGGTCGGTCAACCAGTGCATCCTGTACTGATACTGATCCATCATGCTAGAAGAGAAATGAGGCCATCATCATGTCTTTCCAAATAGCCCTGAAGCAGTCTTCCTGTGCTCAACTTCTGGAATACTAGGGAGGACACAATCAGATGCTACCTAGCAGTTTAGACAGTCCCATAAATTCATGTCTTTTTAAGATGTTAAGTTCAGGGGTACCTGTACAGGTTTGTTATATAGGTAAATTTGTGTCATGAAGATTAGTTGTACAGATTATTTCGTCACCCAGGAATTAAGCCTAGTATCCGTTAGTTGTTTTTCCTGATCCTCTCCCTCCACCCTCCGATTGGCCCCATTGTCTGTTGTCCCCCTCTATGGGTCCATGTGTTCTCATCATTTAGCTCCACTTATAAGTGAGAACATGGGGTACTTAGTTTTCTGTTCCTGTTAACTATTCGTCCGTTTGCTAAGGATAGCATCTCACACCAGTCAGAATGGCTATTATTAAAAAGTCAAAAAATAACTGGTGCTAGTGAAGTTGTGGAGAAAAAGGAACACTTATACACTGTTGGTGGGCACATACATTAGTTCAACCATTGTGGAAAATGGTGTGGCAGTTCCTCAAAGACCTAAAAACAAAAATACCATTTGACCCAACAATCCCATTGCTGGGTATATACTGAAAGGAATACAAATCATTCTATCATAAAGACACATGCATGCATATGTTTATTGTAGCATTATCCACAATAGCAAAGACAGGAATCAATCTGAATGCCCATTAATGGTAGACTGCAGGTTGATTATTCTTCACTCAAAACTTCACTCAGACACATTGTGGTATCTTCATTTAAGAGGTTCACTCAAAATAGAATGTGTCCTATTTCCCCTCCACATTGAAAAAGAAATGCCTGTTTATCCCTTAAAACGTCTCTTAAATATGATCTTCCCATGACACCCTCCCTAGCATTCTCATAGTGTTGGTCATTTCCTCAGCACTTTGTATTGGTCTCTATTGTAGCATTTATTACATTCACTGAGAATATTTACTTGTTTACCCCTCTTCTACAAGACATTCTGGCATGATGTTTGAAAATATTCTTTCTACTGGGTAATATTTTCTGAAAGAAAGTGAGGACTGGTTAGGAACTCAACTTGATAAGGAATGGTCAGTGATCAGCATTTTATTAACTTTTTCCTTAGGCATGACTAACCCTTATGTAAGTCTCTATCTTGGTCTTAGGAAAAAAAAAGAAAAATTAGTATGAAAACTTCTAATCTCATTCTTACTACTAGAAAGAAAAGTTAAGGCTTTTATGCTTATTTCTTCTTCCATGTCTGGAAGAATGAAGGAGCTGAAATAAAAAGTGTTAATATTAAGAAAATGAAAGAAAGAGAGGTTAGAATGGAATTGAATTCCAATCCTGACATTACCATTTAATGAAACTGGGTCTCTATAGAGCATACATAAAAATGAAAATAAAATAATAGTGGGACAAAATAATATGTATCTCACTGGATAATCAACCTTTACATAACCTAATATATTTAAAAGGCACTGACTTCAAAATTTGAGTTGAATGAAATTTTACTTTTACTTTTACCTTTTCTTTGATTCACCCTTTCATTCTTTGGCTCAGTTTCTCTGATTCAGCCATTTTCTTCTCCTTTAAAACACAACTGAAGGATCACCTCATTCCAAAAGTCATTCCTAGCTGAACTAATAGAGTTGGTGGGCGTAGATGGCAGAGGGATGGTCTTCTCTGTACAGCTATATGCCCTAGGATTCCTTCTGAAATATCGTCTTGTGCAGTCCTAATAGCTTATTATTTCTTTTCTCTAAAATCTATCTGATTGGAAGAACTGTATCCTAAACTACCACAGTTCCTAGAGCAAGGTAATTATTGAATCAATATATGTTAGACATAACTAAATTCTGAGCCCCCACAATGCATTTTATCTTTATAGAGACACTTATGAACCACCTCAAATTTAACTTCTTTTGAGTATTTTGTTTCTCCCACAGTGTTTCCTAAATTACCCAACACAAGGTTTATATACTATGGCTGATCAGACAATGTTTACTGATGGAAAGAAATTTAGGGCGCTATAATCAAATGAGTCACTTCTTCAAACTACCAAAACAGATTGTATTCTTAACCATTTTATTCCATATGTCTTGATTTTTTTTCATTTTACAAATAGTAATAGAAGGCTTCAAAGTGTTTGAATTTTGAATTGTAATAAAGCAAGAATCTGAAGATATATACTCCTGGCCCTCCTCTACGCAATTCAACACCACAAGCATTTACTGCACAGTTACAGGATGCAACTGTCTACATCCATAATTAATTATACTTTTAAACAATTTGAAGATGCTTAATCAAATGACAAACTAAGTTATTAGTACAGAAACCATTTTTTTCTCCCAAGAGGATCACCTTTACCAAATTCTACTAGGTTTTATCATGACTAGCATGTCATTTTTTTCATATAAATCACATGCAGTAATAACCATCTATAATCACAATTATTCACATTTTTATCCTGCTTAGTTGTTAGCAGAGCATTTTCACATGTGTTCAATCTTTTGAAGGAGAGGGATTCCTTTAGTTCCATTTAACAGATAAGGCAAATGAGTCTGAGGTACAGTTCTTTACAGAAAATTACTATGAATTTAGAGAGCAGTGTCACGTTGGAGATCTTTCTTTAAATAATCTTGCTGAGATCATAATCTACTTTAACAATAAGTGAGTATCTTACTGTTTCTTCAACAGTAATGGGAGCATAACTACACAATTTTGATATATGTGTCCAATTTTTCTATGTTAGAGGCTTTCTTTTTAAATATCATTTTATTTTCAATGACTTTTTCCTGTTGAAGATTGACGTATGTGAACGATTAATTTTGTATCAATTACTGTCTAATATCGTTATTGAAAATAACCATTGTTTAAATTATAATTATTATCTAAATAAAATACTCATTTATTCCACACACAGTTGGCTAAAATTTTGCTGATGCAGTGCAGTTGCAGAAATGAAAATCCAGGGTTGTCCCTTCAAGGAAGTAAATTAATGCCTCAATAGCAAGTCATTATTTCATTTATCATGACCATCTCTCATTACTTAATAGTAGCTCCTGTTGCACTGTGTGAGGAAGAATTATGAGGCTGTGTTTAGTCTTAATAAGAAAGGAGGTTATAATCAACTAGTAATGTCTGCAGTGGGAAAAGCAGGAGAAATAATGGAACATAGGTTAAAAAAAATGCCTGGTATAGTGGATAATAATTCCTTGGATTTGTTGGTAATTTTGTTTTGGTTTTCACAATAAAAACGTGCATATTTAAAATTTTCTAAGTAATATGTGCTCATTGAACAAGAATATAAAATACTAACTATGTTTAGGAATAAAATGGAAACATATTCCTCTGCCACATTTCACTCTGAGATGTCTACCATTCATGTTTGGTGATTATCCTTGTATAGTTTATGTCTATAAACATAAACATGCAAATAATATTCATACACTTCAGATTAACATAGATTATATCACACACATATACTTATCTTGGATATAGATAGTTTTTATTTTCTGGAAATTGTTTTGTAAGTTTTTTGGTTTGTTTGCTGTTCCAATGCTAACCTTTTCTCTTCTTCCACCATCCCTACTTTACTTGGCCCATGTAAGCAATGCTGATATTTATCTGTGCTGATGGAATTACACCAATACATATCTACAGATATATTTAGATGTAAATATATAGATACAAATATATTATATAAATATATAAATATATTTTTATATATGGGTATATGTATAGTTTTTATCATTACTTGTTTAAAAACAAACTTTTTTTACATAGTTCACTACATATCAACATTCTTTATTTAACAAAACAACTTGAAAATACCTTCCAGTTAACGGCTGAGCTATATTCTTTAAAGGCTTCTTGATACAGTTTACAAAGCGCTTTGAAATCTAGTTTTTAATTTACCTTCAACAGACTAGTGAGGTAGTCAAACTAGATACTGTTGTTTCTTTCTTTTTTTTTAATTCTTATAATGAATAAACTATAGTTTGGGGGGATTAAGTGACTTGTCCAGGTGAAACAAATATTAGCTGATACGAAACAAAGTTGTATCCAGGTCACCCTTTCCCAGGCCCATTGCCTTTCCCATTCCTATAGTAATTGCCACAGTTAACTTGAGGACGCTCAAGGGAAAGAAGGAAAGGTTCTGCATGAGAAACTTTTCAGGGAACTTATCCAAAGGTCACTGTCAGGATGATCTATGTGGGAAGTACTGTTCTATTCATATTACAGAATAAGACTCTGAGATCAAAGTCTATAGAACATGCTCAACTTTTCCTACAAAGGTAAAGGCAAGTACTAAGCCTACTGTGTGCCAAATCCTACATTCTTTTTATTATAATATATTAAATTTGGGTCTGAACATTACATGTCGTTTACAATAGTTACTTAAAAATAACCACCTAAGGCCAGCATTTTTATAATTATTTACCTTTTTACCTCCTTCTGGGAAATAAAGTTTTCAGAAACATAAATGCAGCAGAGATAGAGATTTTCTGAGTGATTGGCCCTTGGTGCCATAGAAACAATAATAGTACTATTGATGAGACAGAGCACCATCCATCCTCACATTGTAGTCACCTTGGATCTACACTGAATTAACAAGAAAATATTTGTGGTCCAGAATTAGTACTTCTACGACTAAAGATAGTACATTTTATCTGTGCTCTCCTGATTTTTAAAGACCAGGCTGAGTGAGACTGAGGCAAAATCCCTGGGCAACTGCAATAATATCATTTATTTACAGCATATGAATAATTTTTAAAAAGCCACATGTATTATATAATTCTATTCATTACATGTAAGCCATATACAATGATACAGATTTTCTGCACATAACCAATGTTACTATGTCAATTTTTCAAGGGCTTGTTAATAGGTGTGTATGTTCACGGGTATATGTGTGTAATACCGACAGACATTCTGGCTTTGTATTAGATGCCTGTGTTTTGTATTATGTAAAATTTATAAAATCCTAAAAAATAGTGGATGGGTGGTAAAAATAAAGGGCTGCTTCACCAAGAAAAAATGTTCTGAACCTTAGGCTATAGGTAACTTAACATATGCCGCTATAAATTATAGTCTGACCAATTTTTAAAATGAGATATTTTAGACCTATAAACAGCATAAAATGTGCTCTATTGTATTTATTGCTTACCATCAACAGAGTACCCAACCCCGTAAAAAACATAAAATTACAACAAACTGCCCAATTGTGTATAATAGAATGTGAAGCTGAGTACAAGTAGTTGTGCTAGGCATTATGTCTGTGTAAATAGGTCAACAATATAGTGTTCAAACTTTCTTCATTTTTTTCTTTACTATTTAAATATACAAGTCTACATCCACAAAAAGGGTAAAAGTGGTAGTATTTATGCATATACTATTTAAAACATTTATTACTCTGTTACTTACTGTATCTAAGGCATTAATCTAGGTGTTGCCACATGCATTATCTCATGTGATGACAATATTATCTTCATGAAGTGGTCATTATTATTATCAGATTACCAAAGAGTTAACTTACTCTTCCAATGACTTGTGGCAGAATTAGGATGCTGTATAACTCCATTTTCATACTACTATAAAGATATACCTGAGATGGGGTAGTTTATCAAAAAAAAAAAACAAAAGAGATTTAGTGGGGTGCAGTGGGCTCATGCCTGTAATCCCAACACTTTGGGAGGCCAAGGTGGGCAGATCACCTGAGGTCAGGGGTTCGAGACTAGCCTGGCCAACATGGTGAAACCCTGTCTGTTCTAAAAATACAAAAAAAAATTATACAGGCATGGTGGCAGGCTCCTGTAATTCCAGCTACTTGGGAGGCTGAGTCAGGACAATCATTTGAACCTGGGAGGCAGACGTTGCAGTGAGCTGAGATCATGCCATTGCACTCCAGCCTAGGCAACAAGAGTGAGACTCTGCCTAAAAAAAAAAAAAAAAAAAAAGAGGTTTAGTGGTCTCACAGTTTCACCTGGCTGGGAAATCCTCACAATCATGGTGGAAGGCCAAGGAGGAGCAAAAGCACATCTTACATGGCAGTAGGCAAGACAGCACGTGCAGGGGAACAACCCTTTATAAAACTGTAAGATCTCTTGAGACTTACTCACTATCACAGGAACAGCAACAGCCAAACCTGCCCCCATGATTCAATTACCTTCTGCCAGGTCCCTCCCATGACACATGGGGATTATGGGAGCTATAATTCAAGATGAGGTTTGGGTAGGGACACAGCCAAATCATATCAGTTGGGAAATCAAGTTTACCTGATTCAAAGACAAGTCCCCTGTTCTACACCTTAGCCTGCCATTCAAAAAGCCCTAATTGTTACATCACTGACTGCTGATGTGAAATTGTGGTTATTCTAAAACAAGTGCCCTGTTCTACACCTTAGCCTGCCATTCAAAAAGCCCTAATTGTTACATCACTGACTGCTGATGTGAAATTGTGGTTATTCTAAAACATGAAGGGTCATCCCTTTCAGATACAAATGTAATTCCTAAATGCACTTTTTTTCTCTCTCTCTGCAGGGGTAGGGGACAGAAGATAATAAGGCAGTTGCAGTTGGGTAACATTATTAGTAGGTTGGATGTTTGACACAGCCCCAGATTCCTGGGAAAATTCCAACACAACCCTCATATGCTCCTTGGTAGAAACAAATTATAAGTAATTTTTACAAGTTTCTATAAGAGCTAGCATTAATTGAGCCATTTCAGTACATGTAGTGGTTCAGGATTATATTCAGGATCTTTAAATGTTTTCTTTAATATACCTCCTTTTTAAAAAAGTATCTAAGATTTAGGGATTTTTGAAGTTCTGAACTTCATTGATAAGGCTATTTTTTCCTTTCCAACTTTTAAGCTCAGTGGGTACACGTGCAGGTTTGTTGCATGGAAAAATTGTGTGTCATGGGGGTTTGGTGTACAAATTATTTTGTTATCCGGGTAATAAGCATAGTACCCAATAGGTGATTTTTTGATCCTCTCCTTCCCTCTAACCTCCACTATCAAGTAGGCCTTGATGTCTATTGTTCCCTTCTTTGTATCCATGTATACTCAATGTTTAGTTCCCACATATAAGTGAGAACATGTGGCATTTGTTTTTTTGTTCTTGAGTTAGATCGTTTAGGATAATGGCCTCCACCTCCGTTAATGTTGCTGCAAAGGATGTGACTTCATTCTTTTTTATGGCCACATATTATTTCATGGTGTATACATACGACATTTTGTTTATTCAGTTCATCGTCAACATTGAGCTTGGTTCCATGTATTTGCTATTGTGAATAGTGCTGTGATGAACATATGCATGGGTGTGTCTTTATGGTAGAACAATTTATATTCTTTTTGGGTACATACCCAATAATGGCATTGCTGGGACAAATGGTGGTTCTGTTTCAAGTTCCTTGAGAAATCTCCAAGCTGCTTCCCACAGTGGCTGAACTAATTTACATTCCCACCAGCAGTATATAAGCATTCCCTTTTCTCCACAACCTTGACAGAATCTGTTATTTTTTGACTTTTTAATGATAGCCATTTTGACTGGTATCAGATAGTATCTCGTTGTGGTTTTGATTTGTACTTCTCTAGTTATTAGTGATGTTGAACATTTTTTCATATGCTTGTTGACAACATTTATGTCTTCTTCTGAGAAGTGCCTGTTCATGTCCTTTGCCCATTTTTTAATGGGGTTATTTGGTTTTTGCTTGTTAATTTGTTTAAGTTCTTTATAGATTTTGGATGTTAGACCTTTGTCAAATGCATACTTTGCAAATATTTTCTCCAATTTTGTATGTTTTCTGTTTACTATATTGATAGTTTCTTTTGCTGTTGAGAGCTCTTTAATTTAATTGGGTCACACTTGTCAATTTTTCTTTCTGTTGCAATTGCTTTTGGAGTCTTCATCATGAAGCCTTTGCCAGGGCCTATGTCAGGAATGGAATTTCCTAGGATTTCTTCTAGGGTTTTCATCGTTTTAGGTTTCCATTGAACCCTTTAATCCATTTCAAGCTGATTTTCTATGGGGTGAAAAGACAGGGTACAAGTTCAATCTTCTGTATATGGCTATCCAGTTATCACAGAGCAGCCATTTATTGAATAGGAAGTCCTTTCCCCATTGCTTGTTTTTGTCAACTTTGTCAAAGATCAAATGATTGTAGGTGTGCAGCTCTATTTCTGGGTTTTCTAACCTGTCCCATTGGTCTCTGTGTCTATTTTTGTACCAGTAACAGGCTGTTTTGGTTACTGTAGTATGGTTTGAAGTCAGCTAGTATGATGCTTCCAGCTTCGTTCTTTTTTGCTTATGATTGCTTTGACTATTTGCCCTCCTTTTTTAGTTCCATATGAATTTAAGAATAATTTTTGTTCTAGTTCTGTAAAAAAAATCATTGGTAGTTTGATAGGAATTTATAGAATCTGTAAAGTGCATTACAGAGTATGGCCATTTTAACAATATTGATTCTTCCAATCCATCAGCATGGAATATTTTTTTCATTTGTTTGTATCGTCTGATATTTTTTCAGCAGTGTTTTTTAATTTTCATTGTAGAGATCAGATGCCTTCCTGCTTAGCTATATTCCTAGGTATTTTTTTGTGTGCCTATTGTGAATGGGATCGCATTCTTGATTTGGCATTAGCTTGGATGATGTTGGTGTATAGAAATGCTACTGATTTTTATACATTGGTTTTGAGTCCTGAGACTTTGCTGAAGTTGTTGATTAGATCTAGAAGCTTTTGGGCAGAGACTATCAAGTTTTCTAGGTATAAAATCATATTATATTCAAAGAGAGATTGTTTGACTTCCCCCCTTCCTACTTGCATGCCTTTTATTTCTTTCTCTTGCCTGATTGCTCCGGTTAGAGTATTAAGTTGAATAAGCATAGTGAGAGTGGGCATCCTTGTCTTATTCTCATTCTCATAAGGAATGCTTTCAGCTTTTTCCCATTCAGTGTGATGTTGACTATGAGTTTGTCATACACAGCTCTTATTATTCTAATATATTTTCCTTAAATGCCTAGTTTGTTGAGGGTTTTAAACTTGAAGAAATGTTGAATTTTATCTAAAGTCTTTTCTGCATGTATTGAGATGGTCATGTGGTTTTTATTTTTTAGTTCTGTTTATGTGATGAATCACATTTATTGATTTTTCTATGTTGAACCAACCTTGCATCCCAGGAATAAAGCCAGTTTTGTCATGGTGAATTAACTTTTTGATGTGCTGCTGGATTCTGCTTGTTAGTACTTTGTTGAGAATTTTTGCATCTATGTTCATCTTGAATATTGGCCTGAACTTTTATTTATTGTGTGTCTGCCAGGTTTTGGTATCAGAATGATTCTAGACTCATGTGATAGGTTAGGGAAGAATCTCTCCACCTCAGTTTTTTGGAATAGTTTCAGTAGGATTCTTACCAGCTCTTCTTTATACATCTGGTAAAATTTGACTGTGAATCTATGTGGTCCAGAGCTTTTTCTAATTGATAGGTTTTTTTATTACTGATTCCATTTTGGAACTCATTATTGCTGTGTTCAGGGTTTCAATTTCTTCCTCCCTCAATCTTAGGAGTTTGTTTGTTTCCAGGAATTTATTAATTTCTTCTAGGTTTTCTAGTTTGTGTACGTAGAGGTGTTTGTAATAGTCTCTGAGGGTTTTTTGTATTTCTGTGGAGTCAGTGGTACTGTTCCTTTGTCATTTCTGATTGTGTTTATTTGGATCTTCTCTCTTGTTTTCTTTATTGGTCTAGCTAGTGGTCTATCAATCTATTTATCCTTTCCAAAACACCAACGTTTGGTTTCATTGATCTTTTTTATGGTTTTTCGCATCTCCATTTTATTCCGTTGAAGCTCCGATTTTGGTAACTTTTTTTCTGCTGCTAGCTTTGCAGTTGGTTTGCTATTGTTTTTGTACTTCCTCTAGGTATGAGGTTAGGTTGTTAATTTGAGATCTTTCTAACCTTTTTATGTGGGTATTTAGTGCTATAAACTTTTATCTTAATACTGCTTTAGCTATCCCAGAGATTCTGGTATGTTGTATCTATAAGGCTAATTTAAAGGGTATCATTTATTGAACACTGAAAATGTGTAATCTATCACTGTAGTTGAGGGATAAAAGATATAATTTCATAAATTTTCACACTCACTGTTCATTGTGGTATATACTCTTCCATTTCATAGCTGAGATACTGATGTTCAGAGAAGTTAAGTGTTTCCTCCAAGGAAACATGTCAGTAAATTGCAGAACCTGGATCAGAATGCAGGATTTTAAGCTCCAAAAGTTTGTCCCACAAAATGTGTGTGTGTGTTTGTGTGTGTGTTTGTATGTGTGTGTACGTGTGTGTGTGTTTAGGTAGGGGGCTGGATTTCATCTTGGTTACCTCAATGGTCTTTTAAATCCTTCACTGCATATTGATTACGTGTTCAGTATTCTAATACTGTTATGTCAGAATAGGACTGAAACTTACTCTATGTCCCTAAACAAAAATCAAAACGACTTCTTAGTTGGATTGTGCATTGCCAAAGATCTGTGTATCTTTCACTAAGACACAAACTCAGGTGCAGGGATTGAATGGAGGTGTTGGTTTCCTTAAACTAACATTTTGGTACCGAACTTCACGGAAATGCATTTTAGTTAATCAGCCACTTAACTACATATACTTTTTTTATATTACTCATGTGATAGTTATTTCTGATTGAACAGATCTGACGCTTAGTTATCCTGGTGTCAGAGCCAAAATTGAAACAACTTTCAAGAATTTTAACCTTCCTAGATCTTCAGAATCTTGAAATTGGGGGTAAAATTATGACTTTGTCCACTCCACACATTTTACAGATGAGTAAACTGAAGTTCATTCCTGTCTTAGTCTGCTTGGGTTGCCAAAACAAAAATACCATAGTCTGGGTGGCGTGACAACAGAGGTTCATTATTTATATTTATTTATTTCTCAAAATTCTGGAGGCTGAGAAGTCCAAGATAAAGGAGAAAGCATACCTGGTGTCTAACAAGGGCTCCCTTCCTACTTGTAGCTGGCCATCTTCTTGTGGTATTCTCACATGATGGAACGCAGAAAAAAAGAGAGAGAATGGAAGCTTCCTTGTGTCTTCTTAAAAAGGCACTACTCCCATTTATGAGGGCTCCACTCTCATGATCTAATGATCTCTCAAAGGCCTTATCTCCAAACACCATAACTTTGGGGGCCAGGATTTCAACATATGAGTTTTGGGAGAACACAAACATTCAATCAATAACAACATTCTTGCAGTGAAATTGTGAGGCTTTTAAGTACCTCACTCATGATTTGACCTTGTCTTCTATTCTTGTCTCCCTACTTTCCCATTCCTACCACTTAATTCTTGTGAAATAGCAAACTGCATAAAGTCCTTACTCCATAAGAGGCCACCAGGCTGACACCCCCTCCTCTGTCCCAGTGCTTATCCCAGTGGTCCCTCTTTTTGAAGGCTTTCCTTGCCTTTCCCAGGACTCCATCTCTACCCACCTCCATGTTACCTCATTTTCCCCTAACACCTTCTACTGATTACTATGATAGCCCCTTCAGGGCTGTTTTTTATTTTCTAATTAACGTCTCAGTTCCCAACTGCTATGTAAACTCTTTGATGGCAGGTCTATGTCTTTCTATTATTGTTACCCCAGCCCAAATACAGCGAAATTCGTGAATCAATAGTTGATAAATGTATAACTCGATTTCAGTGTATCACAAATTAGACAGTTAAAGGACAGGGAAAGTATATTAGTGTCTTCCCTGGCTGCCATACCAAAAGAGAACAAACTTGGTTGCCTAAAGCAACAGAAATGCATTTGTTCACCATTCAGGAGGCCAGAAGCCTGAAATCAAGTTATTGGCAGGAGTTGTTCCTTATGAAGTCTCTGAGAGACAAATGCCCCATGCCTCTCTCCTAGCTTCTGGTGATTGCCAGCAATACCTGGTGTTGCTTGACTTCTAGGTACACTACTTTGATGTCTACCTCTGTCTTCACATGACCTTCTCCTCTCCATGTCTCTCTGTGTCCTATCCTCTTCTAATAAAAACACTAGTCATTGAATTTAGGGCCAAGTCTAAATCAAGAGTGACTTAACGTCAAGATCCTTAACTAATTAATTATATCAACAAATACCTTATTTCCCAAAAATTTCACATTTTTAGGTTCTGAGTAGACATAAATTTGTGGGTACAGTATTCAACCCACTCTAGAGGGCTAAAATGGTATCCCTAGTCACTTTTTTTAGTGTTGGAGCTGAGACTATAAATCCCTATTTCCTTGGAGCACACTATCTCTTAGATGATTCATACATTTGATTTAGTAACTAAAAACCACGAACCTGTTTGCTTTAGCGATTTGACAGACAGACAACCTCTTCCACAAATATCCTACTTTTCTAAATGAAATTAATGGAATTAATTTCCCATGCCCTGTCCTCTGTGTCTGACTCTTAATGATTTTGTTAGGATGAGAAAGTTTGTAATTAACTACACAAACTAGGAGAGAGATGGGGTGAGTTAGAGCTGACTCACACTCTGGAGGTTGTGTATGGCTCTATGTACCTCTTAATACTTCTAATTCTCAAGGGTTGTAATTATCTCAAGATAGGTAAAACTATTTTTAGGAGACTTTTTTTTTCTTTCCTCACAAAAAGAAGCTCTTCCATCCCCAGACTGTTTGCTAAGCCATGAGACTAAGCACCAGCCTGTAATTTCTCTCTTCTCTCACCTCCCTTCTTCTGCTCTTCTCCTCTCTCTTAAACAGAAGTATAGAAATTGAGCCAATCTTGCAGTGTTCTTTTCATCCCTAAGAAAAAGATTCTCAAAACAAGCCAACAGATCAAATAAGCCACCTTAGGTTAAAATATTTTCAATTATTTACCCTTTGCTATAGTCTGAATATTTGTATCCCCTGCTGCCCAAATTTATATGTTAAAATCCTATCCCCCAAAATGATATTAGGAGGTTGGGCATTTAGGGATGTGATTAGATCACGAGGGCAGAACTCTCATGAATGGGCTGAGTAGCTTTACAAAAATGGCCCAGAGGAGTTCCTGTGCCCCTTTACTATGTGAGGACCCAGCAAGAAGTCAGTGGTCTGCAGAGAGGATCCTCACCAAAATCAGACTACACTAGCACTCTTATCTTGGACTTCCCAGCCTCCAGACTTGTGAGATACAAACTTCTGTTGTTTATAAGCCAACCAGTCTAAGATATTTTGTTATAGTTGCCCAAATAAACTAAGACATTACTTTATCCATTTATTTTCTGTGATGGCATTTCTCCTAACATTCTAGTCACTTTGAATTTTCATTTATATTAGCTTCATCCCATCTCTCTAAGGTATTTTTTATTATGCCCATTTTACATTGAGGAAAGTGAGATTCAGAGAGTTGTACCATGTGTTCAGAATCACATAGCTAGTAAGTGGTAGTGCTAGGTTTCCAAACTAATTCCTCTGGTTTCTAGTCTCAAGCTCTCTCCTAGTTTTCTGTGTCTGTGTTAAGATCATCTCGTTTAGAAGCTTCATTGAGAAGCCTTAATCGTTCCACATTTTAATATTACAACCAAGATAAGAATAATACCAAGAAGGTCAGAGTTGGTCTTGGGAAATCCGTAGTTTCTTCATGCTGCTCTACTCATGGGCTGGGATTTTTCTTGAACCTGACATAAGAATTGCTGATAATAGTACTTAAATGAACATCTATCATGAACATTCTTCAGGGGGTGTTTTGTTCTCAGTAAGTGGTCTGAAGAAGATTCCATGATTTCCTAGGCCAGTTTGATTATTGAGAAAATACATGATATCAGTCACTTCCACTTAATTATAAGCCAAAACAAAAGAAAACTCTCCCATTTTCTTAGAGATTTTAGTTTGGAAAGGACTCATTTTATTGGCACAACAATTCTATGTAGTGGGTACAACTGAGTACAGTTTTTAAATGAGCAAACTGAGTTTCCTTTCTCAGAGATATTTTTATTTAAAATAAGCTTCCTAATATTCAGATGAAAGTCTCTGTCTCCTGTTCTGTGAATTCCATTTACTGGTGAGCAACTGTAGAAATGACTAGGTTAAGTGCAGAAGCCCTTAAAATCATAACAAACTGTGGCTGTTTATATAACCTGTCTGTCATTATGGATTCTGGTAATATTGGTAGTAAAATGAAAGCAAATGTTGAAGCAAGAAAGACAGAGAGAGAGAGAGAGAAAGAGAGGAAGCTGAGTCAACAAACTTGAAAACAGAGATTCATAAAATCATTCACTCGATTAATGTTTATCACATGTCAAAAACTGGGCTAGGAACTTGTGATACAGTGGTTAATAAGACATTGTCTCTGCTTACACTCTAGAGGGAAACACAAACAAATAATTAATTATAACAATGTATGGTGAAGGATGACAAAGAAGTAAATATATGGACTCATAGAAATCCTTAGCTGGGTTTTCAACCCAAACTTGGGAACTGAGAAGTCGCCCTGTCACGCACGTCCATGTGAAGAGACCACCAAACAGGCTTTGTGTGAGCAATAAAGCTTTTGAATCACCTGGGTCAAAAAAGCAGTCAGCAAAGGGAGATGGGGTGGGGCAGTTTTATAGGATTTGGGTGGGTAGTGGAAAATTACAGTCGAAGGGGGTTGTTCTCTTGTGGGCAGGGGCGGGGGTCACAAGGTGCTCAGCTGGGGAGCTTCTGAGACTCATTGTCCAGGAGAAGGAATTTCACAAGATAATGTCATCAGTTAAGACAGGAACAGGCCATTTTCACTTCTTTTATGATTCTTCAGTTGCCTCAGGCCATCTGGATGTATACGTGCAGGCTTGGGCTCAGAGGCCTGACACACCCCTCCTTTTACAGACAAGGAAACTGTGTTTTAGAAAATGACACAGAGAGTACACCAACATAAGATATTGAGAGACAGGACTAGCTGGATTTCCTAGGCCAACTAAGAATTCCTAAGCCTAGCTGGGGAAGGAGACCGCACCCATCTTTAAACACCGGGCTTGTAAGTCAGCTCACACCCGACCTATCAGGTAGTAAAGAGGGCTCACTAAAATACCAATTAGGCTAAAAGCAGGAGGTAAAGAAATAGTCAAATCATCTATCGCCTGAGAGCACAGTGGGAGGGACAATGATTGGGATATAAAGCCAGGCATTTCTAGCCTGCAGTGGCAAGCCCCTTTGGGTCCCTTCCCGTTGCATGGGAGCTCTGTTTTCACTCTATTAAATCTTGCAACTGCACACTCTTCCGGTCTGTGTTTGTTCTGGCTGGAGCTGAGCTTTTGCTCGCCGTCCACCACTGCTGAGCACTGTTGTCGCAGACCTGTCTTTGATTTCCACCCCTCCGGATCCGGCAGGGTGTCCACTTCTGATCCAGCGAGGCGCCCACTGCTGCTCCCGATCAGGGCTAAAGGCTCGCCATTGTTCCCTCATGGCTAAGTGCCCAGGTTATTCCTAATTGAGCTGAACACTAGTCGCTGGGTTCCACAGTTCCTTTCCATGACCCACAGCTTCTAATAGAGCTATAACACTCACTGCATGGCCCGAGGTTCCATTCCTTGAAATCTGTGAGGCCAAGAACCCCAGGTCAGAGAACAAAAGGCTTGCTCCCATCTTGGGAGTAGCCGGCCCTCATCTTGGGAGCGCTAAGAACAAAGACCCCCAGATAACAATATCTGGTATTTATGTTACTGGACCATAAGTTATATAGATGTTAAAGCTGGGAATTTAAGTTTGTTACTCATTCTAAGTCACTTTTACCCTGGTGCTTAAAAGTTTAGACCTTGTTTCATGGGCATAATGGAACTTCCAAAATTTCTGAAAATCCCAGTAGCATGGCTCTACTGCTACATGCTCTGGTTTCTAAATTCTATCCCTAGTTAAATAAATGCAGAAGTAGTCAGTGGTCAAAGCTAGTTTCAATACTAGGTCTTCTTTCTCCATCTACTGCTCTTTGAGCTCTACGATTTATCCTAGCCCAGTGACTCTCAACTGGGTGTGATTTTGCCCCCCAGGGCACATTTGGCAATGTCTGGTAATATTCTTGTGATCACAACACAGGGTGGGGTAGAGGTGCCATTTGCATTGAGTAATTTAGCAAGGGAAGCCAAGAATGCAGCCAAACATGCAATAATGCACAGGACAGCCTCCACAAAAATGACTGGCCAGTCTGAAATATATAATTAATGAAAGAAAAGGTAAAAGAAAGTTTTATTCTGTTAATGTATATTTTATGATAACTAGAGCATTATGCCAATATTCAAATCAACATCTGTTGAAAAGATTTATGTGGAAGCTGATATATACACATATATATCAGTAGTATGGGTTGGTTCTGCTTTAGTTTGTTTTATTATTTTTTTCTTTTGGAATACATATATTACAGTGCCTAGCACAGTATGCAACACATATCAGGCCCTTTATATATATTTCTTGAATGAATAAAGCATTATTGGATAAATAATTATTATTGAGTGTCTACTACTCTTTAGCCAATTTATATATTTGCTCCCTAAATTTAAAAATAATCATTCAAAGAAGGTAATATCATCTGCACTTTTTTTTTTTTTTTTTTTTTTTTTTTAGAGACAGGGTTTTGCTCTTTCGCCCAGGCTGGAGTGATGTGGTGCAATCGCAGCTCACTGCAACCTCTGCCCTTGGATTCAAGCGGTTCTCCTGACTCAGCATCCCAAGTAGCTGGGATTACAGGGATTACAGGTCCCCGCCATCATGCCCAGCTAATTTTTGTATTTTTGGTAGAGACAGGGTTTTGCCATGTTGGCAGTCTTGTGTCGAACTCTGACATCAGTGGGTCTGCCCACCTCAGCCTGCCAAAGTGCTAGGATTACAGGCATGGGCCACCGCACCGGCCCATCTGCACTTTTTTTTTTTTTTTTCCGAAGTGAAAGTAAGTTTATTAAAAAGTAAAGGAAAAAAAGAATGGCTGCTCTATAGACAGAGCAGCCCCATATGCACTTTTAAGATTTAGTTTTATATCCCTAAAAGTAGCTACATTGCTCTTGGAATTTCTCCAAAATTTGGGGAACTGATAAAAAGAGTTCCTGACGATTTCCTGGAAGACTGTTTTGTGTATTAACCATTACAAAAAGTAGTTGCTAGGTCAGGTGCAGTGGCTCATGCCTGTAATCCCAGCACTTTGAGAAGCCAAGGCAGGTGGATCACGAGGTCAGGAGATAGAGGCCATCCTGGCCAACATGGTTAAACCCTGTCTCGACTAAAAATACAAAAATTAGCTGGGCATGGTGGTACACGCCTGTAGTCCCAGCTACTTGGGAGGCTGAGGCAGGAGAATCGCTTGAACCAGGAGGTGGAGGTTGCAGTGAGCTGAGATCACGCCACTGCATTCCAGTCTGGGGGATAGAGCGAGACTCCGTATCAAAAAAAAAAAAAAAAAAGTAGTTGCTAGATCTACAGAATCTAGAAAGTTGTACAGCATTAGTATTTTTTTTTAACTAACGCTTATTGGTTTACTGCTACCATAAATATTTGTTTCTTTAAAATTTATACAAAATTGGACTTCACTACCCTTACTCTCATTTAAAGTGTATCTCCACTGTGATTTTGGACTCAGAGCCTCTCCCACGACCAAAAATGTTAAAAAAATAAACAAAACCCCTAGAGTTTGTGACATTTCTTTTTGGAATACTTTCCTCATTTGCCAAATTCTTGTTTACTTTCAAGTTCTTTCTCTGTGTAAAATCAGATTGCAAAACATGAATATAATAGGACAATTTAACTTTAGCTTCTTACAAAAATGACTTTAAATATTGGATAAATGGGTTTTGGTGTGTGAATTTGTGTTTGTGCCATACGCGCACTCTAAAAGCATTTATTTGGATAATATTTTGGTGCTTTTATTTTAAGAAGCATTAGAGGTAGATGTTATTCCTCATTTTATCAAATAGTTTTCAATTTTAAGGAGAATGGGGACTAATGGTAGGTTTTGATAAGTATTAAACACCAGCTCTGTACCAAGACTTGTGCTGGGTACTTTAGGTTCATGTATATTTTCATTTTTTTAATAAGCATGTATGAAATATGTTACTGTTTGAGCTTTAGAGATGAAGTTAAGAAATGAGTAGTCAATAAGCATATAAAATATGCTCAACTTCATTAGAAATAAGGTAAATTCATATTACAATGACAATGAACATTTTATCCATCAGATTTAAAGAAATTAAGATATCCAACTGTTGTCTAGAATGTGGAGCAATAAGGACTGCAGGTAAAAATGTAAATTGGCATTAACATTCTGGAAAACAGTTTGATATTATCTAGAAAAGTAAAAAATTGTGGGTGCTTGCAGGGATAATTTTTTTTATCAGTGCTTCATTGTGATTAATCCAATATGAGTACCTGTTGTGCTGTCCATCGGGCCTGATTGTTGGGGACGGGATTTATATACTTTTGACCCAGCAATCACTCTTCTAAGAATGTACCCTGTAGATACTTTCACACATGTGCACCAGGAGAAATAGACAAGAATGTTCATAGAAGCATTTTTTTAAAATAGCAAAACAAAACAAAACTGGAGAAAAAAACCAAAATGATTATTGCAGTCAAATGATGAAGTAAATTGTCTTATTATAGTTACATACAGAATGCTACACAATAGTGAAAATTACTGAACTACAGTTAAATGCATCTAACGGGATAAATCTCAAACTCAAAATTGGGTGTAAAAAGAAATTTGTAGAAAAATGTGTTTTGTATGATTATATGTATGTAAATTTCATAAACACAAACACTTAAACCATGTCTTGCTTAGGATACACAGTTCAGGGGAAAACTCTACAGTAAGGGAATGGCTACTCTAAAAATTCAGAAGCTTGATTATTTCTGAGAGTAGGAGGAGCACAGGGGCTGGGACCTGCAGGAGACATCCAGGGTCTCCAATGGTATTGGTCACGTTTTGTTTCTAAAGTTAGGTGAATCTGGAATTATGTTGGCATTATTATTTTTTCTTCCAACTGCATTACATATGCTCTTTTGAATTAGTTGTTAGACACAAACTAGTTTTACTGAGGTGAGCCTTAGAATGGTAGAATAATCTATCCAAGTTTATGCATGGAAAAGGCCCTATCCAGGACTGTGTAATCCAGAGGCCATGCTCCTCCATTTCATTTTTGGCTCTGCCCAAGGTGAAATTCTCCTGGTGCAGGACACAGGAAGAAATTGCCTCTTTTGATGATCATCTTATTTTCTTTTATCAGTGAAGGCTATGAGCCACGAAGTGTCTTTCTTTTTTAACTTTGCCACCAGAAAAATTCATTCTAATGTAAATGTTCATTTACAGAAATTAACTTATCATAAACATTTAGCCCCTATATTTTCCCTCTTGAAGTGATTTCTGATTTCTCACCTTAGGAATTGATTCATTGCAAAAATCTTATTTCATATATAGTCTAATATTGCAAATGATCTAAAAGATTTTCTTTTGATTAGTGAATTGATATTTTACACAAGAAAACAAATAATTTAAAGCCATTACATTTTCTTTAAAGATACAACCTATTACCTTAAAGGCAGAATCCATTAAGTTCCTTTATTTTTCTTTCAATCTTTCTATAAGTCTAGCATGGATCTAAAACCAGTAAGTCCTCAATTTGGGATAAAACAGGTGTACAGAATTTGTCCTGAGAAAATGTACATATGCCAGCTGCAGTTTTACCTTTGGAGAATATGCCAAGTTGGTAAACACAAGAAAGCCTCCCCAAAATGAATCACCCACTGAAAAATATGTTGAGCTATGAAAGGCCCTACATAAATACATGATTATCTTTCTATGTATGGAGAAGGAGGTGGGAGGCAAGGAGCAGATGATAGATTGTGCTGAGTTATTTAGGGGAAGCACTTGGCTCTATTTCACCACAGATCTTCAGAAAGCAACTGAAGCCAGTTTAATGAAGCAAGTTATATGTAATTGAGGATTCAGCTTTTTCCATACTTTTAAATGTTTTTCTCAAGATGAGGGATGGTAACTCCAGCAATATGTCTGATCAATAAACCTCAGTGTCATTAGGAAAGTAGGAATTATAGTGGTTTACATATAGCACAGACATTCTACAATCCATATACAAAGGAAAGAGCAGACAATGAAGAATAAGAATGGCATGGTTTGAATCTGAGCTATGCTGTTTCATAGATGATTAGTTTCTTCATCCATTGAACTTAAGCTCTCTGATTCTTTATTTGCATATGTCTGAGATGGCATTAAAAACACATACCTTCTAGGACTATTACAAGGATTTTACAATTTGGTGTGAATAGAAGCTTACCATTGTATCTGTCACAGAGGCATATTTGGGCAGTGAGTATGAATGCTGTTAGTCATAGTCTGAAATAAATATGAGCTAGTAAGTTAATGCCTACAGTTTCTATACTTGAGCATTGATTAGTTGATTAATTGATTGATGAAGTCCTTCATGTATTCATTTTTTATTGGTTCATTAATGCATTTAACAGTTATTGGGTTCCTACTCTGTGGGAAGTAAATCTACTGTTTAGGAAATGCGAACCTCACAATATCACATGCATTATCTGGAATAATATATGAGAAATTAAAGTACTACTCAGATGTCAGTGATGCATTATATAAGCACTCCCAGTGATGAAAATTGTTATATTAATAACAGGGGGTGAAAAGCAATCACAATATGCTCATATACCTGGGTGGTAGCAAAGGTTGAACAAGGCAGGGCAGAGGATGGTGAAGCTAACCTAAGAATTCAATCTTATCTCCATGTTAGATCACAAGGCAATCTACAGGTATTAGGTTTTTTGTTTATTTTGGTCATTCGTTCAGTCTTCTCACTCTATTCACCAACCTATCAACCCATCCATCAAATACTTATTAAACTCCTATTAGGTTCCAGGCACTAAGAATACAATGATAGGTTAATTTCTGCAAGGAACTCACTACCTAGATACAGAATGACCATGGGATAAATAATTCTTGAAAAACAAGTTAATTTGCTTTAACAACATGTTGTGTAACTTGGTGGCTATGAACTCAGGGTTTGTAGTCCTGAAAACCAAGATTTGAATCATAGCTCCTCCATGTAGTGAATTCAAGCACATTAACTAACCTTTCTTAGCTACCTTTTATTTCACCGTAAAATAAGAACTATAAACAGTAAGTATTATTCCCAGGACTGCTGTGCAGATAAAATAAGATAATCCATGAGAAGCTTGTTCCAATACTTGGAATGTCATAATTATGTTGGGTTATACAAAGTCCAGAGGAGTAAGTAACTTGACCTTGGTGTAGTGACATTAGAGACATTCTCCAGGATAGACCTTTAGAACTGTATGTTAAAAGTGAGTAGAATTTATTTCCCAGGTAGCAAACCAGGAAGTCATTTGCAGGAGATGAAGGAGTATTGGTAAAGGCATTGAGGAGTCTAGAGGCTTGGGTATAAAATTCTATTGCCATTTTGGCTTTTATTTTTCAAAGTCATTTGTGGAAGAGTAAGGAAAGCAAGTATCTGAAAAGCATAGTCGAGAGTGAGAGAGAGGGCTTGCACTTAGAAATGGGGACTTAACAGGGTTCTGGCGGAGTCCAAGTGATCTCTAGAAGAGTGTCACAGGGTTAAACACTAACTTACATAAATCAATGGTCATTATAATTAAAAGGGGAATAAACTTTTATTTCAAGCAATGAGTTCTCTGGTTTGCTAAATGAAGTAAGAAATTATTAGATATAACTAGACATTTAAGTTGGTTTAATTTTTTTAATTTTATGTACAAGCTTGTCAGTACATGCTTTTAAAATATCTGATTAAATATAAGGTTTCTGATATTTAGTGAACTGCCAAAATTTAATAAAAAAGTAAGCTCTTCTCTGTGAGATGAATTGCACAGAATATATTGTATACAGACAAGCGGAATGTATCATTTGATATTAGAACAGGGCTCTTTTGATGGATCATAAAAATATATTTAAAGTGTGGTTAAGGGAGAAGAACGACATTAAACACTTGTAAATTCCTTGAGAGCAAATGTCTAATTCTGAATATTTACCACCAAATCTCAACCATAAGGCAATGAAGTCTATAAATACTCGCTGAGTGCTTAACTGTTCTGTTAAATTAAGATTTTAGAGAGTGGGAATATATTTTGATTTTTATAGTATCTAGAATTGTAATAGAAGTTTATGAAGTCATATTTTACCATTACAAGGTTTCTTATTTCTGAAGATATTAACAGTGGTTCATGGTCACAGAACCCAATTTGAAGGAGAACAAATCCAGTTAACCCTTGTATAGTATCAGACTTGCTGCTGCTTTTGATTCCTTGCAGATTTGTTTGTGTGTTTTCATTTAGCAAATATTTCAGTTTTTGCTATACAGCAGGCATCTATTAGTTACTAAGAAAGGTAAGATGCAAATGAAGATGTGAGCTGAACTTGCTCTAGGAAGCTGCAAAACAGGAACACTAGAAAACTATGAGGGAGAAAGTAGTAAGTACTGTGACAAGTCTAGGTGAGGTACCGTGAAGTCCATTTATTCCTTAAGCAGAAGTATTCACAACTCTTTTAGAATCCATTACCCTCATTTTTTGTTATCAATGAAGAAAATAAGATGTAAATGAATTAATTTATACTGGTTAATCAGGCTTCCCTGTCATAGGCAGTCAAATTGGTTAGCCCAACTCACACTGAGAAACTTCTATGTGCCCAGATGTCTTTGTAATTATTTAACATAAATTAACACAACTAAGTAGTACTTGCACTACTTCGGTAGGTACTTTGATTATTCTTATTTTACAGGTAAGGACACTGAGGCACAGAAAAGTTGAGCAACATGCACAAGGCCTCTTAGATGGCAAAAGGTAGAGTCATGATTTAAACCTAATTGGACTAGTTCCAGAGTCAATATTCCTACTTTATGTCACATTAACTCTCCTGGAAAAAGGCAGGTTTCCCACACTGGAACACAGACGATTTCTGGCCAATGTGGAAATGCCATCATAGATAAAAGTACAAGGTCCTATCAAAGCTTAGAGGAAGAAAACCTGATCCAGAATATGTGAAGTTGCAGGAGAGAAGTTCGGGTAACATCTAAGTTACCTTCAAGGATAAGTAGTAGTTGAGGAGAGAACAACATAAAGAGCTTAGCATAGTGTCTGGCACATTAAAAGTAGTTATGATAAGATGTTGGTCTGGACAGTTAGAGAAAAGCTGGGTCATGGCAGATTTTGTGTAACTTGCTGAGGATTAAACATTCATCCTGAGAGCTGCATGACTCTAGCTAATGCATTGAAGTAGTAAAGAGACAGGGTCAGATATTTATTTAAGATGGTCTCTGCCAATTCAGTCAAAGATGGGTGGGAAATGAGCAAACTAGAGGCAGAAATGTAGGAAAAAACTTGAGCCCAGCAGTACATTTAGTGTACGTGTTCAAGTTTCTTGTAACCCCAACTTACCACATAAGGGATGCCAATTTATGGCAAAGACACTGTTAGAAATTTTAACGTGTAATGAATGTCCCGATCCCTAGTAAGATCTCTTTTAGCGGATACCCTGAAACAGAAAAAAGAAAGAAAAAAGGTTTTAGTAATCTCATGGCTTCCCTGAGGACCATTAGCATGATGCAATCTTTTACCTATAAATGTATGAATTTTTATTTTTAACTGAAGTGAATATAAAACGATACATGTCACTAAAGGTCAAGCTGTTATTCTTTAAAGTCACATAGACATTCTGCTAGAAATGGATCACCTCTTTGCACCCAAGTCTTCTATACAGGTTCACACAGCCAATATTTTAATGTTAGGCTATAAATTCAAAGGTGCTATATGTGAATGTGATTTTCCCCACATTAACCCATATGCTTAGGGCATAGTTTTCATCACAAGTTCTTATGGTAAAAAGACGATGAAATATGTGTATCTTTTGCTCCTCAGAGCAGTAGAAAAACTATGGATCACAATTGCCAGGGGAACCTGACACAGCAATATATTATCCTTCTATTCCAGTGCCTTTTTGAGGTCGACAGACAAGATGCCTTTCAATTCTAGCTAATACAATAGATGTAGACATTTATCTTGTATATTGTACCACATGATCTAATAATCATGATAAGTATATTAGTAGGGCTATGATTATATCTCAAGTGCCTTATAATGCCAAAAGAAATTTTCCCTGTTCCTTTTATAAATTTTTACAGTAAAGTTCAACCCTGTGAAATAGAAAGGGTAAAAAAAATGGTACAACTGTTATACAGATAAAAATATTCAGTGTGTTATACAGATTTTTTAATGTGAGAGTATAGATTATGTTCCTGAAGTCATTTTGATAAGCACAGGATACCACACCCAAGGCTCTTTCTAATACATTGTGATTTAACTTCATATTTTTATAATTCATTTTTTTAGTTTTAAATTTTAGATAATTTTTAAAAACTGTCTCCCCATACTCAGTCCTACTGCTTAAAAGGAACCACTTTAACTCTATTAATAATTTCTCTTATTACTTCTTGTTGTCATTAATTCCACATCACCAGGTAAAATAAGTATGCTGCTAATTCTTCAGTTACAAATTTAGACATTTTTATTAAATTGTGCTATGAAAGGTGAGGACTGATTACACTTATCTACCCCTATCTTCCAAGATTAACAAGATTCCCTTGTGGAACAAGGTATTACAGGTCTCCTGACTAGATCATTTAGGCCTCCTTTATAACTTTTTCTTTTTAATTCTTAATCAAGTTTTAAATTTCTTTATTTTCTGTTCTGTTAATAATAAAATGAAACTAATACTACACTAAGTTTTATTTCCCAGAATCTAGAAACCTAAGATTCTAGAAGGATTGTCAAATTATGTATAGTCTTCCCAAATCCAAGTCCTCTCACTTAGTTCAGGTCTGCAAAAGACTAGACATTGGCTGAGACTTAGCAGTATGTACCTTTATCTCTCTTGACTCTGGATTTCACACATGCAATTATGAAGGTACCTCCTAGGCAGAAAACAAATCAGGCAGAGAGGTGATCCCTGTTCACCACCATCTTCTATTTCTTTAGACTTCATACCCTTGGTTTTCTGATGGATGTGACACTCATTGTATGGAATTCTCATGATGTCCAGCAGTGTTCCTCTGAGAAGATTAAAATAAATAATGTCTGTGCAAGTGCTTTTTAAACTGGGAAGTTATTTACCGTAAACAAGTGATGATCGAGCGGTTAGTACCATTGTTACAGTCATTACTTCATCCAGATTTTTTCTGGGCCTGTCTTAAAATTAAGGGCTCACACTCCAGATAGGAACCAATCTTCATACTTTCCTGAGGGCTGGGACATAGATTATAGTAGTACATTGAAGCCAATTCTAGGTCAGCTTCCGATTTCCTACCTTAAGTTAAAATTATGTATTATACTTTTTCTGCTTCCTTTGAAGACTCTGTAGCGGAGCACGTCTTTATCTTCTCATATCATTATGAGGAAAGGCAGAGGATTTGATAACATCTTCAGTAAGTCAATATTGGCTGTGGAGTATCATCCAATCTTCCCTTTAGAAATGAGGTAATTTCCTGGGGGAAAATACGTGAGGATTTGCCTGGTTTGCTTTTAAATGATTCAAAGGCTTGCTCTAAATAAATCTCTCTAGAGAAAGCTCTAGCTTAAAAATCTTACCACCAAGGGCTGGATTTGCTGTTAGTTTCCTGCAAAATATCCACTTACAAATAACAAATGCAATAGCAGAGAATTTTAAAGAATGACTGGGGAATTGCTGCTGTTACGTCTCAGTTCTTATGATTCTCAAGTCTCTGGTTTGCTGTCTGTTATATTCTCAGTAGCTGGGTCAGTCTCTGCTGCTTGCAAATGGTCTAAGCTCTTGGCAAAGCCCTTAGGTGTCTGCAATGCTTTTGGGCACTGTTAGGTTCCTTCAATCAAGGCATATGCCACCCAAGTCCCCACAAGCATTAGACCATGGCCAAAACCTCAGAATTGGTACAGAATTCCTTTCCATGCAAGAAATGTTATCAGTACTAACTACCTTCTCAATATTCTACCAAAGAAGGCTGCCATATTTTGTTCCACAATTTCTGTGGAGAAATACAGACTTTTGCCTTGTAATTATGAAAATATTAATTTTCATACCATTTGTGATAAGCATGCTTGTCAGGTACTTGTATATGATTTATGTATGTTATTTCTAGTCTTCATAATAATTACTATCCCCATCTACAGAGGAAGAAATTGAGATTCACAGAGGTAAAATTCCTTGCTCAAGATGACAGATAAAGTCCTAGAGCCAGCCTTTGAGAGTGGGACTATCTGGTCTCCATGCTCTCGTTTTTTCCGTTACATCACACAGATACTGGAAATCTTTTTATTTCAGTTTGGTTAAGAAAAAACTGTTTAGCAGATAAAGGATCTTTGGTGTCATTTGAGAGTAAATGATAACTTAGAATTTGGAAATGTATATCATTGAAATTAATCATTAATTCATGGCACACCATATGTATCAGGGATTATACTAGAAACTGAAGATGCAAAATTGAATCCGCCATGACCCTTGCTCTTATGAGCTCATAGTTTCGTGGGGGAGGGGTAAAGGGTGACATGTGCTTTCAGTAAACTATTTGTGTTAGTCAGGATAGGCTAATTGCTATTACAAATAACTCCTCAACCTCAACAACTTAATGAAATAAAAGTCTCCCACTCAAATCACAGTCTTACATGAGTGCTGGATAGGGAATAGAGGCTTTACTCTCATCAGTCATTCAGGGGCCCAGACTTCTTTTATCTTATGGCTCCACCCTACGCAGGTCCTCCTGATTGTTCTCCAGTCACATATTGTCACATGAGCATTCTAACTGTGAGGGAGGCTGGGAAATATTAGTCTAGCTATATGTCCAAGAAAAAGAGGACATGAATATTGGTGAGCACCAGTAATCTCTGTCACACCCTTCTATAGTCAATTACAATGAGAAATAAAAGATGGATATTAGTTGACCAATATGAGGAAATAAAGGTAGTTAGCCAGAGGGGCTGTTCTTCATTCATTTATTACACACACAATTCAAAGCATTTAATTTTCCAGTAATTTTGTAGACAGCTGGCCTAAAAATAGGACACAAAAGTTTTTTTTTTTTAACTTTCACTCAATACAACACTTCTGACACCAGTTATATGTGGTGTGTGTGTGTGTCTGTGTGTGTCTATGTTTCCCACACACTGAGCAATTTTCCAGCAGATACTAACTGGATGTCCTCCAATTCAATTCGATTCTGACACTATCTACCTGAGATAGCACCAGATCTCACAGGTTGAAGGCTCAGTCCCATAAGACTGAAACCCACTGCAGATGCCAACTGCAAATAGTTAGTTGCCACCTGTACTTTGACCAACTGGCTATAAATCGAGGCTTCCCATAATTTAATTAACTTGCTAGAGAAGCCCCCAGAATTCAGGAAAACACTTATGTTTACCCACTTGTTGTAAAGAGTGTTACCAAGGATGCAGATGAACTGCCAGATAGAAGAGATGCATAGAGTAAGCCATGTGGTAAGGGACCAGGAAGTTTCACGCCCTCTCTGGGCATGCCACAATCCAGGCACCTCTACAGGTTCAGAAATCCAGAAGCTCTGTCCTGGTGTGTTTTTGTGGAGGCTTCCTTACATAGACGAGATTGCTTAAATTATGCGCCATTGGTGATCTAACTCAAACTTCAGGCCCTCTCTGGTCCTGGAAGGTGGGGGATTGGGTTGAACAACCCAACTCTCTAATCATGCCTTGGTATTTCTGGTTACCAGCCCCCGTCCTGAGGCTGTCTAGAGACTGCCAGCCAAAAGTCATCTCATTAGCATATAAAGGACACTCATCATTCAGGAGATTCCAAGGGTTTTAGGAGCTGTGTGCCAGGAAATGGGGGATGAAAGTCAAATATTTATTTCATAATGTTACGCTAGGATTAAATGACTGAACAAGAAAAGATCATGGCTTTTATGGGGTTTATACTATGGCAGAAGGGGGATAAGTCAAAGAAATAAGAAAACATCAGTTAAAGATACGTGAGATGAAGGAAATAGAGTGATATGATAATGTCTGAAATGCTACTTGAGACTGATTGGTCAGGAAATAAGATGTAAAGACAGAGGTCAAGGGCATGTGAGCGCATGCAGTGGGTTCAGAGAAATCAGTTGTAACTGGAATACGGTACATGGAACGTAGAGAGGGGTGGTGGAAAACAGGACGGCATACATAGGTTAAGACCAGATCTTTAAGAATTGAAAATGATAGGTTAAAAGTTTGCATTTTCTTTTACTTTAAAATTTATCCACTATTCAACAAGAATCCATTACTACAGGCAAAAACACAATCAGATCTTGAAAAGCATTTACAGTTGAAGCAATGAATTGGAGGAGTTAAGATTAGAAGGAGGAAGGCCAAGCTGATAAGTAAGCATGCTGACTTGCTCAACTGAGGAAGGAGCAGTGTGGGCTTAGGAAGGGAGGTGAATTACAGAGACATTTCTGGGGTAAAATAGACAGAATTTGTTAACTAACTCATTGATGAAGAAGGCTCAGAAGTCAAATGCCTCTTAGATTTCTAGTTTAACCAACTTGTGTTCTTACTAACTGGATAGGTAGTATAAGGGGTAAGAAGGGGGCAGGTTCGGGGTGTGTTGGAAAAAGTTGGAGTTGGCTATTCTGATTTTCTACTTTTATCATTTTCTTACTTATTTTACATAGAGGACAAGAATTCTTGAGAGTATTACAGCTGGGAACCGGGCCATATTTTTATTTAAATATTATTTCTAGTGGCTTTCAATACTACTTCTTTCATTCTACTGTGTCCTAGAGGAGAAGAGGGAACAGAAACAACCATAGTACAATACTTACTGTGTACTTGATACACTTGGCGTATGACCTCTCATTTTGTCCTCGTTAGGAACTTCTGAAGTGGCGTTATTTCATTATTTTAGAAATGGGAAACAGAAGACCAGAGAAAATCTTGTCCTATGTCCCAAAAGAAGAGATATGATTGAGACTTGAATATAGGTCAGGTGGAAGGAGAGGAAGTATTTGTGGTACCAGATAGAAGGACATCAAGGTGATTTGCCCAAGAGTAAAAAAAGCATCAGATCAAGAATCTCAAACTGATTTCTAGGCTCCCTGTGACTATCCTCTCTCCCTTGTATGACATTTTAAATACTCATTGGCAGCAAACTAATATGTTAGTGGTATCAGATCTCACAGGTATTTGGATTTTATTCCTCATTGTCATCACTGTAAAACAAATGCTATAGAGGATATTTTTGTTGCTTATATGATACTTATTAATTTTTATTAATACTTAATACTTATAATACTTATTACTTAATATTTATTATTTTTGTTCCCTATTAAATACTAAAATTAAGGTACTATTTAGTCTTCATAAGTGTTTCAAAGTACTATTACTGTTTTTCAAACTTTTCAAACCAAAAACTTTTTTTTTAGCCTAGATAGATGAAATGTGGTAGGCTTGCAGAAAAGAAAAGGTTGACTTAGTGATTACTTCAGTAGCAAACCAATTTTGCAAATAAATTTCAGCTAGCTTTAGAAAAAGGAAGGTACATAATTACACAGGCAAGGAAAATCATGTGGGCTACCAGAAAGAGCACTGGAATGAGAGTCAGTAACTTAGAGCCGTAGGACTATCTAAGCTCCTGTTTTGTTCTTACTCATTTGTTTATTCATCATCTTACTTCTTCAGTACCTTTCATATGCTAGGCACTGTAGCAAGTCCTGCAATAATAAAAAGATAAAAGACGTAGATAATCTACAAGGTTTTACTATCTAATATGGGCTACAAGGCCATCAATACACTGAAATAATTAATCTATGTGTCACTTCATTCCTTTTTTAATTGAACAAATATTTATTGAGCACCAACTATGGTTCAGGCACTGTTCTAGGCATTTGGAATACAATGATATCTAATAGAGAAAATGCCTTGCCCACATTAAGCATAGTTTTTTGTTTCTTTGTTTTTTTTTTTTTTTTTTTTTTTTTTGAGATGGAGTCTCACCTCTGTCACCCAGGCTGGAGTGCAGTGGCACAATCTCGGCTCACTGAACCCTCCGCCTCCTGGGTTCAAGCGATACTTCTGCCTCAGCCTCCTGAGTAGCTGGGACTACAATTACACGCCACCACACCCAGCTAATTTTTATATTTTTAGTAGAGACAGGGTTAGTCTCAGTCTCTTGATCTCATGATCTGCCTGCCTTAGCCTCCCAAAGTGCTGGGATTACAGGCGTGAGCCATCACGCCCAGCCATAAATTTAAATAAATAAGTAAATAACTAAGTAAATAAATAAATAAAGAATCCTTGAAGAATCACCACACTGTCTTCCACAATGGTTGAACTAATTTACACTCCCACTAACAGTGTAAAAGTGTTCCTATTTCTCCATAGCCTCACCAGCATCTGTTGTTTCCTGATTTTTTGCCGGGTATACACCCAAAGGATTATAAATCATTCTGCTATAAAGCCACATGCACACATATGTTTATTGCAGCACTATTTACAATAGCAAAGACTTGGAACCAACCCAAATGCCTGTCAGTGATAGACTGGATAAAGAAAATGTGGCACATATACATTATGGAATTCTATGCAGCCATAAAAACGAATGAGTTCATGTCCTTTGCAGGGACATGGATGAAGCTGGAAGCCATCATTCTCAGCAAACTAACACAGGAACAGAAAACCAAACACTACGTTTTCACTCATAAGTGGGAGTTGAACAATGAGAACACATGGACACAGGGAGGGGAACATAACACACCAGGGCCTGTCGGTGGGTAGGGGACAAGGGGAGGGAGAGCATTAGGACAAATACCTAATACATGCAGGGCTTAAAGCCTAGATGACGGGTTGGTAGGTGCAGCAAACCACCATGGCACACGTATACCTATGTAAGAAACCTGCACATTCTGCACATGTATCCCAGAACTTAAAGTAAAATAAAAAAAGAATCAATAGATATATATCCTAAGGTCGGAAAGTGACAAAGTAATATGAAGAAATATAGTGGGTTGCTGTTTTAAATCAGGTGGACAAGAAAGAAACCTGAATAAAACGCTCAAGTTTTTTCCCTAAAATCCCAAGGATATTTAGGGGAAAATATTACAGTCAGGCAGAACAAATATAGAGGCCTGGAGGTGGCAGGAAAGCAAGGATGGCCAGAGTAGATTTAGCGAAGTAAAAAGTGATTAGAACAAGTAATTTGTGGCTGATTGTTATAAAATTTCGTGAGCACCATCCCATTCTTATTCCATCTCCATTGTGAGGATATTAGATTTTATTCTAGGTGGAATGAAATTATTAGAAGATTTTCATTCCTCCCTCAAATTGTTCAGAAAAAGACTACTAATAATGGGTATATGTGTATATATAAATAACACACACACATGTGTGTGTATATATATATGTGTACGAAAAAGAAAAGTATGGAAAGGAAGGGAAGGGAGGGAAGAAAAGGGGAGGAAAAAAAGGAATGCCATGGAACAAATGCATTGAGATGTTAATAGGGAAACTGGATTCAAGGATATTGGAGGTCACTATACTATATTCGCAACTTCTCTGTTCATTTGAATTCTTTCATAATAAATTATTAAAACATTGTTTAAATTGTATTGTATTCAAACGCTCATGGTTTTGGAATTAGAAATAACTTGGGTCAGTTGCCAGTTTCAGATGGGTGACTTTAGATAAGTCACTTAACTTCTCAGCATCTCCATTTCTCTTATCCGCTAGTTAGCATGTACTTTGATGATTTTTTTGTGGGATTTCGATGTAATAAATATATAAAGAGATTACCTGACACATAGTAGACATTTAATAAACAATGGCTCTTATTACAATGAAAGTTTTACAAATTATCATAAGAATTTGCATTTTTTTCAGATACCAACATCTACAGACAGCACCTGAAAATATGAAGCATACATTTCTATAGTGTAGTTTCAGGCATCTGAATAATGACATAGGGAGAATTTGAGGATTTAATTAAGACCAACAAGCATCTATTAAGCATTGTCTATGTTACAGTCATTGTGCTTGGGAGAGGAGATTCAGAGACAAACAAAACGCTTTCTCAATCCACACAGATTTTACAGTATAGTGGATAAAAGAGAGAAGAAATCAGCTAATTTTTCTACAGCAGGAAGTAAGATATGACAGCAGTAAACACCAGATACAACGAAAGCAAGATTAAAGTTTTACCTAAACAACTTGTTGATAATGACATCAGCATAAATGAATAATATTAACTTATCAGGAACTTACCAGGAAAACACAGAAATATGCAAAGGATTTTATAATCAAAACATTTGTCTTGTTGTTTATGTTGACAAATTTATGACCCCATATGTACTGAATGGAAGTTACTTTATCTTTTTTTTTCTATTCAGCTTTTTCTTATCTCCTTATACTGAAAGAACTCCATAGATGATATAAGCAATTCCATTGTCACCCCAATGTCAATTTAAGATGGAGGTCATTGTTTAAGAAGTGTTTGGTCTTAGTTTTTGCAATGTCTATTCATATGTTGACCCCCATATGTGCCCTGTAGCTTTTGCTTCTCATCCTAATTCTGTCCTCTAGAACTGCATGCATGACACATAATTCCTTTCACAGTACAATCATTTGGAAACTGCTGCCTTCTAACAAACCAACCAACCATCTTAGCCCCCTAAACCTAGTAACTTCTACCACATCTGCATTTTTCTTACTTTATATTAAAAATCCATAGTTTCTTGATTTAGTTATTACAACATAGTTTCAAGATTTCTATTACTATGCCCTTTGTCTTTCTTTGAATGCTTTTCAGGATATTAATAACATGTAATAATATGGGATCAGGTTAAATATGACTCCCCAAACTGAATACAATTATTAAATTGATTTCTCATCAATATCAAGTGAAGTAAGAGTAACAACTCCCTTAATCTGAACATTGTGTTTTAGAATCAAATTCTGAATAAACAGAAATATGGCAGTGAGTCATTTAGTAAAGCCAAAGGTTTCTTTGGAAGCCCCTTAAATATATAAATCTGGTAAATTAATATTCTTTCATATATTAATTTTACTTAAATTGAAGAAAATCTCTCTTGCTTTCATTTTAATTATTAATTATTATGTGCCACACTTTCTCCATGGCAGGCACAGAGTGAAATGAGTATGAAGAAAATATCACTTTTGTTGATATGCTATGTTCAGTCCACCAGTTTTTGTAATGCCATGCGTTTTAATTACATAAATGTAAGCAAATTATTGTTGATATCATTTATAATTTTATTCGGAATGGCATTTGCTAACTTTATTTACTTTAAAAATTTAGGAAACCATCAAATTTAGCAGCTTCTTATTCTACTATACTTATTTGTTCTATATTGGCAAGTCTACTTCACCATGTATTATTTCCCTAGAATCGTGTGTTATGACAAATATTATTTCAAGATTTAGTTAGGGATGGTGGTGCTATGGTTTGAATTTGTGCCCTGAAAAACGTGATAAAAACTGAATCCCAACACAACTGTGTTTTGACACGGGACCTAATTGGAGGTGTTTATTTCATAAGGACACCACCTTCATGAATGAATTAATGCTGATTATAAAGGATTTAAGGCTATGAGTTCAATCTTTTGTTCTCTTGCAACCTCTCTTGCCCTTCTACCATCCACTATGGGATGATGCAGCATCGAGGCCCTCACCAGATGCTGTCCTTACAATCTTGGACTTCCCAGCTTCCAGAATCATGAGCCAAGTAAATTTCTGTTTATTATAAATTACCCAGTCTCAGGTATTATGTTATAGTAGCACAAAACAGTCTAAGACAAGTGTTATAAATTCTGTTCCTTGTTCATAACAATGGCCATCGGAAATCTACAAATAATCCCAAGCCATAAGAACTTAATGCCTCTCTTTAGTTAAAATTTCCATTATATGTATTAGGTCAAGGTATTTCTAAGGTCACACATAAGTACACCTACAGAATCATCTTTCTTTCTGAGCTACACCTCTCTTTGATTCATCTTGTCATTTACTGACTCTTTGATCTTTGAAAATTTAGCTACTTCATGGCCTTCTCCTATGAACATCTCCCATTATCTAATGGAAATAATAATAATCATAGCATACATTACCAAGTGCTTAGTATGGATTAGTCACTATGTTAGATGCTTTGGCTGCATCCTTACTGACCCTCACTAGAGCCCTAGAAAGTAGGTATTAAGAGTTTTCATTTTATGTATCAAGAAAACAAGACTCAAGGACATTAACTTTCCAGAGGTGGTCCATATAGTAAATGACTAATAATATTTGAACTTGGAAATTGTATACCACATTCCATGGCATTCAAGAGCCTCTGCAACACATTCAGTAAATATGCGCTGTGTTCACAATATGTCTCAGGCACCAACCCAGGCACTAGAGGTAGAACAGTGAACAAGGTTAAGGACACACACATTCAGGAAGCTTAGATTTTAGCAGGAGTTGGAAGTGAGACGATATAGACAATCTAGTAAGTAAATGAACAAGATAATTTCAGATCATCATAAATGCCAAGATGTAAATAAAATAAGATGTTATGATATGGTGTGTCTGAGGAGGCTACCAAGGAAGCCAAGGAAGACCCCTCTTACAAACTGAGATGTAACTGACAAGTAGGCCAAACCATGTGGGCATCAGGGCCCTAGATGTTCTAGGTACAAGGGATGGTAAGTACAATGGCTATAAGGAAAAAAATGGTGGGAATGTTTAAGTAAAAAAGGAAATAAAATAGAAGGACGTAATTAGCACAGAATGGGCACTAGTTTCTACTGAACAAGCGTTATGACTGATAATGATGATTGAAATGGGGGTGGAGGGGAGCAGTAGAGATGAAGAGCAGTAGATATATCAAGAATAGACTTTGGAGATTCTCCATTAGAGTCAAAGTGTGTTATCCTAATTTTAGTGTTTACCCTTCATGCACTCTAATCTACACTTATGCCAAGTAATTCGCCAACTCCACAATGTTATTCTGCTTTTCACAACTCATTTGTTTGAAAAGCCTGTGGTACCCTGCTTCCAGAGCTTTTTCTCGGATACTTCTACTTTTAAGTCACAAATTGTAAGATATTTCTATTGTGAAGTCTTTCCAAACCTCTCTTTTCCCTAGTCAGAAAGAATCAGTGTGTTTTTCTTTTGTCTTTTTATTATGACAAAAAGAATGGTTTCACTACATTTTAATCACTTCTACCTGGGAGTGTGAACTTCTTAAGGACAAAATTATATCCTACATCTTTGCAATGTAGCGCTTTGAGTATAGTAGAAGATGAGAGTTATACAATGGATTAAACTTGGTGCTCAAAAGAAGGAAAGCTGTCATTGACTGTCTCCAAATGATTCCTTTGCACCATTCTCTCACATACCCTCATGTTCTTAACCTTTATCTCTTGGCTTTTGTAGTCATGGATTTTCCAAATCTACTACTTTTAAAATCACTACTGATCTCATAATAAGTGTTTGGTACTAGTTTCCTGTTGCTGCTATAACAAATTATCATAAACTTAGTGACTTCAAACACATGAATTTATTATCTTACAGCTTGGGAGAAGAGAAGCCCAAAATTAGTCTTACAAAGTTAAAATAGAGTTAGCAGGATTGATTCCTTCTGGAGACTCTAGGGGAGAATCAATTTTCTCGCCTTTTGCAGTTTCTAGGGGTTGCCTGCATTCCTTGGCTCATGGCCCCACATCACATCACCTTTTCTTCCTTTGTTTTTCTTGTCATATCATCTTCTCCCCTGTCTTTGACCCTCTTACATCTCTTTTATAAGAGCCCTGCTTCCACCCAGATAATCCGGGATAATTTCCCCATCTCAAGATACTTAGTTAATTCATATCTACGAAGTCCCTTTAGCCAAGTAAGGTAAAATACTTCCAGATGCTAGGGATCAGAATGTGGACATCTTTGAAGAGCCATTATTCTGCCTGCCACATATGTCTCACAATGTATCATCAGGCTTTAATTTCACTGAAATGTTTAGTCAGGAAACATCATTCCCTACTTTGTTAGAGTTAGTTTTCCTCTGGCCTTTGTGACATAGCCTGGATCCACTTAGCAGATTGTTTCTTCACATTCCTTTGCAATTTTATTTCCTTCCTCTACTATAGTAAAAGTTCATCTTCATAAAACTTTCTCTATCAATGACTTATAGAAAGAGTGTTATGATAGATATTTGACAACTAAGATGACAATAATAAGTTATTAAGCATCTAATGAGGGTCAGGCACTATTTTCTGAATGTTTTACATTCATCATAATATTTCATGCCTGCAATGATTTTATATTTTATAGGGTCGGTCACTAATTTCATTTACCTGATGAAACAAACAGAGGCAGAGAGATTGTGTAACTTGCCCAAAGTCAGAGTTAATAACTGGAAATACTAAGTTCTAATCCAGGAGTTTGATTATAGAACTTGGGCTCCAGAATGCTGTGCCATACTTCCTTCTTGTGTGAATGGATAGCTTCTCGACTATCATGGCTTTATGCCATCGACTGAAGATTCACGGATCTAGTTCTAACCTGTCTCCCATTCTACTACTATGTATGCTCAACATTTACATTTAAATACCCCTTTTAATTAAAATTGCTCAGAAGTTATCATGACAAGAATGAAGCTTGAAATGGTTACCATTTATGGTATCTCTACTTTGTTTCAAATTCTGTAGTAGGTGCTGTACCTAAATATGTATTTTCCTCCTTAATTTAGTTTCCTATATTATCTGGCAAGGTGATTGTCGTTGGTCCCATTTGACATCCAAGGAATCTTGAAGCTGAGGTATTTTAAGCAACTTAGTACTCCACCAAAAAATATTCAAAGTCTATGTTCTCTTATTTATGCCTAGGAACCTCACTTATAGTGTATCTATTCACAGATACTCCTCAATTTAACTGTCCTGTTTCTATCTTTCTAGTATTCAGCTCAAAACTCATGTTCATGTTTGCTTTTTTTCTCGATGACACAAATATTCATTTCTCAGACCAGTCATGTTTCCTCTGCAATATTGCTTCTACGGGTACATGTAACTCCCTACTTTCTATCTTGACAGTCAAGCACCTAATGAATGCTCCAGTTTCATCTTGCTTCCCCACTCCAATAGCTTCTAACTGCTGTCTACATCTTATTGCCTTGCCTCCCCTCAAAATGACATTTTTTCTTTACTGCCAAGTTTATATTCCTAAAGCATAAGTTCTATCATTTTAGTTTTCAGACTAAAAAAATGTATTAAGGTTTATTTGATACATTTCTCCCACAGTTCCCTATGTTTAGCTAAATTGGACTTATCAAATTGGATCAACAGTTACCTTTTGGTCTTTTTACCAACCTTATTCTTTTTATCATTTAATTTCTTCCTCCTGTGTAAAGGAACTTCTGTGTCTGTAGTTGTTCTACATGTCTGGAGTCCTATCAGACTAGGGCATGCCATCTGATTGCTTCTTATATTGGAAGTGGCACCAAAGTGGTGGTTTGGTAATGGTGGTGTTGGTAATAGTAGCCACAGTAACTTGTGTTGAGCACATTACTATGTTCATATTTTATTTGAGACATCTGTTTATATATATAATCACTCCATAAGGCATAAACCTAGAGAGGTTGAGTTAGTTGCTCAAGGTTTAAAAAAAAAAAGCAATAGTATTTTGCAGAGGTTCAAGTCTTTTTATTTCAATGCTTCAGTTCAGTTAACAACTGTATGATGCTTCCCTTTGTAATCCTAGGGACCAGGTAATATTACATAGGCTATCTATTCAGCATGGCCAGAGGCAGTTCAGTTAATGATAGAAATTCTCAGCAACAGAGAATGAAGCAAAATTTATTACCAGACAAACAGTACCAGATATTAGGTGTGAGGATCAATAAGAAGAAAAAACGGCTTAACATCTTCACAGGTCTCATTATGTGTCAGGAGCTGTTCTAATACTTTGCATGTATTACTTCATAATCCTCAAAACTAACTTATGAAATGCATGCTATTATTATTCCCATTGTATAGTTAAAGATTCAGAGACAAAGAAAGATGTAGTAATTTTCCCAGTGTTTGATCCCAGGCACTCTGGACCCAGAATTCACACTCATGATCACTATTGTATATTGCCTCCTATTTAAGTTAGCTTGAACTCAGAAGCACAAGAAAGGTCAAGTGCTGGGCAAGCAGGAACATTTGGGATTACAAAATGTGAACTGCATCGTGGAACATGGTTCATTACTTACTCTGTGATGGAGGTGAAAAAATGGAGGGCTGATTTTGTATAAACTCTAGAGGAGAGTCTGATAGCTTATGGGGCCCTGTAGAATGCACAGTATTTAGTCTTCAGTCTTGTTTTCAAACTTTATTAAATCCAGGAAGCTGTGCTTGATCCCCTGAACAGAATACAAATTTTTCTTCCTTTGAACACCTTTTGCACTTTCATACAGTTCTTATGGCCAAAGTATAACATTCCTTTGTGGAGAAGAAAAAAGAAACTGAAAGCAGCATGGCAGCCCAGAGCCCAGTGGCTAGAGATGGGAGGGTTATACAAACATGATTCATGGAGGTGTGAGAACCAGGAGGATGCTTCTCACTTCTCAAGTGGTTAGAAGCAGATATAGTCTTGCCAACCCAACGTAACTGGAGTTAGATAGGTAGGGTGCTCTGGTTCTGGATCATGTATCTGTCTGTCACTAAGAATGTCACTAAGCATGTCATTAAAATGCCATGAAACTTTTCAGGGTCCCAGTTAAACAAGTGTGAGTAGTGCTCCAATAACATAAGAGAACCAGGGAATTAACACTGAGGAAACAAGAACTGGACAATACTGGAATATAATGCTGGCCAGGCATGGTGGCTCACTTCTGCAATCCCAGCACTCTGGGAGACTGAGGCAGGAGGATCACTTGAGGTCAGGAGTTCAAGACCAGCCTGGTCAACATGGTGAAACCCCATCTCTACTAAAAATACAAAAATTAGCCAGGCATGATGGCATGCACCTGTAATTTCAGCTACTTGGGAGGCTGAGGCAGGAGAATCACTTGAACATGGGAGGTGGAGTTTCAGTGAGCCAAAATGGCACCACTGCACTCTAGCCTGGATGACAGAGTGAGACTCTATCTGAAAAAACAAAACCAATCAAAAAGACTGAAATATAATGGGAAAAATCAGCTTAATTGTAGGTCAGGTACCAGGCCTCAAGTTAAAAGTTAGACACTACATCTTATTAGTAAGACTAATATTAGATCCTACCACTTGCTAAGATGATGAAATAATTTACAATTATTATTAAAAAGTACCCAATTTAAAATGGGCAAAATATTCGAATAGATACTTCACTGAAAAAGATACAGGAATGGCTCATAAACACATGAAAAGATCTCAACATTATTAGTCATCTAGGAAATGCAAATCAAGACCAAAATAACATACCATTTAACATCCACTAGAATTACTATAATAAAAAAAGACAATAACAAGTGTTGGCAATGATGTGGATAAATTGATACCCTTATAACATTGCTGGTAGAAATATAAAATGGTACAACTGTTTTAAAAATTATTTTGGCAACGTCTGTAAAAAGTTAAATATAAATGTATCATGATCCTATATTTCTACTCCTAGAAATCTACCCAAGAAAGTGAAAACATGTCCAGACAAAGGCTTGCATATAAATGTCTGTAGAAGCATTATTCATAATAGTCAAAATTGAAAACAACTCAAATTTCTGTTTCTTAGTAATTAGATAAACGAAATCTGTTATATCACAAAATGGAATACTATTTAAGTAAAAGAAATTAGTGATACATGATAAAACAGGAATGCATCTAAAATATATCTGTGCTAAGTGATGGAAAGTAGACATGCAAGACCACATACTACAAGACTCCGTTTATATAAAAGGATCAAATCTATAATGATTGAAAGTAAGTTAGTAATTTCCTGAGACTGGGGATGAGAAAAGAAGTGGCTGCAAATTGCAAGAGAGAATTTTGGATGTTAATAAAAATATTTAAAATTACATTATGTTAATGGTGGCAAAACTGTATTTAATATCAAAAGATAATTGAATTGTAGAATTCAGTTAAAAATGGGTAAATATTATAGAATATAAATTATTTCTCAATAAACTTTATATGTATATGTGTGTGTATACATACATATATTTTAATAGTCTAGATTTTGTAGATAATCAGTGACAAGACAAGGACTCACATTTAGTGTGCTGGATTCAAATTCCAGGTTCTGTAACTAAAAGTGGAATCCATTATAGGCATCTTTAACTTATGCAAATTCATGTCAAACACTCAGAAAACCCAATAAACATACAAATAAAACAAACATGAAGTGTTAGAATTTCCTGATTTATTCTATTATTCTTCCAGGCTTTGGCTCTTACTGTGTGAGGTGGAGAGAGGGGAAGAAACTGCAGCCAAAATGCAATAAAAATAAAAATACTACATTTTGAGGAATATTTCAATCTTTCAAAGAATTATTTTGATTGTGCAATGATTTGACAATATGTATGAATTTAGAACTTAACCTTCATGTAATATGATTTCATTATATTAAAAATTCTTCAGACTTTAGGATAAACCTATAAAAACTATGAATATCTATCTTTAAGATATAAAAAGTCCATTAAATTGCTTGAAAATATAGAATACATATGTGGTGGAGCCCAACTGTTGTTCAACTAAAACTACTTCTGCTTTCTACCGTAGAGAAAATAAATGTACCTTTAAGTGCTATTTATACTGTGGTACACAGAATAATGGCTCCAAAAGATGTCCACAACCTAATCCTCAGAACCTGTGAATATGTTACTTTCCATGGCAAAAAAACAAACAAACAAACAAAAAAATTTCTTATCTGCTTAAGTTAAAAATCTGAGATGAGGAGATTATAAGGACAAAGGTCTAAATGAATAAAATAGGGAGTCAGGAAACTCAGAGGAAGGGGAGAAGATATAATGACAGACCCAGATTCAGAGAAAAAGGAGAGTTGAAGGTGCTATACTGCTGGCTTTGGAGATAGAAGTGGCCATGAGCCAAAGAATGCAGGCAAATTCCAGAAGCTGGAAAAGGCTAGGAAATGTATTCTCTAGAGCCTTCAGAAGGAATGCAGCCAACACCTTTATTTTTACCCCCATAATAACCATTTCAGACTCCTGGCCTTCAGAACTGTACAATTATAAATTTGTGAAGAATGTCATTGGTATTTCATTGTATGACAATGATGTTCACTTTTACCACTTTCATTTAACACAGTACTGGAAGTTCTAGCCAGAGCAATAAGAAAAGAGATAGAAATAAAGTCCATCCAAATTGGAAATGCAGAGGTCAAATTGTCCTTGTCATAGACAATTGATCTTATATTATGAAAAACCTAAATAATTCATCAAAAAACTGTTAGAATTGATAAACAAATTCAGTAAGTTTACAGGCTATAAAATCAATATGGAAAAATTTGAAGCATTTCTACATGCCAACAGTGGACAATGTGAAAAAGAAATCAAGAAAGCAATCTCATTCATAATAGCTACAAAAGAAAAAATACCTAGGAATAAATTTAACCAAAGAAATGAAAGATATCTATAATCAAAACCATATACCAATGATGAAAGAAATTGAAGATGCACAAAAAATAGAAAGATATTCCATGTTCACAAATTAGAAGAAACAATATTGTTAAAATGTTCATACTACCCAATCAATCTACAGATTCAGTGCAATCAATCCCTACCAAAAAGCCAATGACATTCTCAAAAAAAAAAATTCTAAAATTTATATGGAACCACAAAAGACCCAGAATAGCCAAAACAATCCTGAGCAAAACAAAACAAGCAGAAAAGCTGGAGGCATTTCACTACCTGATTTCAAATTATACTATGAAGCTATAGTAGCCAGAACAGCACAGTACTGGCAGAAAAACTGACACATAGCCCAACGGAACAGAATAAGAAACCCAGAAATAAACCCATGCATTTTCAATCAACTCATTTTGGACAAAGGTACCAGAAATATGTATTGGGAAATGACCAGTGTCTTCATTAAATGGTCTGGGAAAACTCAATATCCACATATAGTAGAATGAAACCAGACCCTTCTCTCTCACCATATACAAAAATCAAATCGAAATGGATTAAAGGCTTAAATGTAAGACCTGAAACTATGACACTTCTAGAAGAAGACATTGGGGAAGTGCTTCAGGACATTAGTCTCAGCAAGAAAATATCTTGATTGATACCTCAAAAGCACAGGCGAACAAAGCAAAAATTGACAAATAGGATTTCATCAAGCTAAATAGCTTCTGTACAGCAAAGGAAACAACCAACAAAGTGAAGAGGCAACCCACAAAATGTGATATAATATTTGCAAACTGTCCATCTGACAAGGGCTTAATAACTAGAATACATAAGGAACTAAAACAACTCAATAGCAAAAAACCAATAATTCAATTAAAGAATGGGCAAAAGATCTGAATAGATATTTCTAAGAAGATATGCAAATGACAAACAAGTATATGAAAACATTCTCAACATCAAAAATCATCAGGGAAATGCGAATATAAACCACAATGATATATCACCTCACCCCAGTTAAATGGCTATTATCAAAAAGACAGAAAATAAATGCTGGTATAGATGCAGAGAAAGGGAAATGCTTATATACTATTAGTGGCTATAAATTAATACAGCCACTATGGAAAACTATGGCGATTTCTCAGAAAACTAACAATAGAACCACCATATGATTCATCCATTCCACTGCTGGGTATATGTCCAAAGGAAAAAAAAAAAGCAAATCGGCATGTCAGAAAGGTATCTGGGCATCCATGTTTATCATAGCACTATTCACAATAGTCAAGATATGGAATCAGCCTAAGAGTCCATCAACAGATTAATGAAAAGAAGATGTGGTACATATACACAATAGAATGCTATTCTGTCATACAAATGAATGAAATCCTTCATTTGCAACAACATGGTTGGAACTAGAGGACAATCCTTTAAGTGAAATAAGCCAGGCACAGAAAGACAAGTGTTGCATACTCTAACTCACATGGGAAATAAAAAATTGATCTCATGAAGGTAGTGAATAGAATGGTGGCTACCAGAGGCTGAAAAGGGTAATGGGGAGGGGAGGACAAAAAGGGATTGGTTAACGGGTACAAAAATACAGTAAGAAGGAATAAGATCTAATGTCAAGTAGCACAACAAGGTAACTATAGTTAGTAATAATTTATTGTATATTTCAAAACAACTAGAAGAGCAGATTTGAATGTTTCCAGCACAAAGAAATGATAAATGGTTGAGCTGATGCATATCCCAATTACCCAGATTTGATCATTACACATTATATACTTGTATCAAAATGTCACATTTGCCCCTAAATATGTACAACTATTATGGTTCTATAAAAATTAAAAACAAAGTAAAGGAATATCCGATCTGGTTTTCTTCACAAGTCTCCACCAAATATTTTGTCAGAAAAAAAAAATTAAACAAAAAAAGGCAACTAAGAAAATTCTAATTCAGATTAAACTTAATTCAATATGCTAAGTTAAACAATGATTTCACATAATTCTAAGGAATTGTCTCTTGGGAAAAAAAAATCTCCAATTGACTTCCTCTCCCCCTGTTTTCTCCCTAATACAATATTCATATGTTCAGTTTAGAAAGCCTTCAGCTCCAACTGTTCAATTATCATGAAATTAAATAAATATTAAGCATGAAGTTAGGAGGTTGGCACCTTTTGGCATTTCGTAAGTCCTCAAATAACGTCACGGTCAGTGCTTCTGAATTTCTTTTGGCCCTGGGTTCATGGTTACAGGAAGGCTGAGTACATATTCAAAACAGGAAGAATAGGAATGTAGTAAGATAGAACCAGAAGCATCTGTCTCTTGTATTAAGGAAAGCAAAAGATCCTCTAGAGAATACCATCATGGTTCATTACCTTAAGCTGGATCCATTTCTATCTGAAAAAAAGAAGTTGGGGAGGGTGCACACAACATGTGGGAAAAACTGTGGGGCTTCTGTGAAATCATGGTGGTGGGGAACCTCAGGGTTTCTAGGCAATGCACCCTAGTCCCTGGCGCAGTGGCCGTGGTCCACTTGCTGCTGCTTGCCCGCCTTTACCACTAAAACCAGGGCATCTCATTGTTTAGTTTCTTCCTTGGCTCGACAGAACTGTGGCTTGGATCTGCAGCTCCTCTACTAAACAAAAATTGTATCATCAATGTTAGCAACCTGAAAATATTTGGAAGAAAAATTTGTAGATGGCTCCAAAAGACCAAATTCTCCCCAAATATGAAGCATCTGCCTTCAAGTAACTGTGCCTATACACAGACATATTTATAGGCCAAATAAAGTTTCTAAACTATTTCTTGTTTTACAATGAAATCATAAAGTGGCTCAACATGATGTAGGATCAGTTGTACCAATAGCTTTTTTTCCTTGCAAATCCCTACAGTAGAAGGGGAAAATCAATCAACCAATCAATCAATCAATCAGTCAATCCATCAAACCTAACTTTGTCAAAGTCTCTTCCTACAACAGCTCATTGTTAGGATTAGAATATGGGCTACACAAAAGTTCAAAGACATTTCTTCTTCTTCATTCCCCCATCTTCTACAGCAGACTGGGAGTGATCAGAACTAAAAAATGATTTTTTTCCTCAGAAATTTAAACAAGATGTTTTTTCTTCCCCACTTTCTCCAAACTGACACTCATGGGTGACAGTAACCCATGTCAAAAAACCTTTTATCACCAGAACGAAAACTGATAAAGAGAGTCTGTCAGTTTCCCTTTGTTCTCTATTTACAGTTATGAGGGAAAAATGATTTGTGATTATTGTAATTATATCTCTCCTTAGGAGAGCTGCACTAATTACATAATTTTTTAGCCATTTTTCTTTTTACAAGCTCTTACTTAGTCTAAATTGAAATGTATTTAGCAATTTTGTACTCAGTTACTTTTCAAACCTCTGTGTGGGTCACAAATTGAATGATCTGAGATCACTTAATGCATCAAATTTGTTCATGATAAGCATAAAACTCCCGGGCTTATATATTCACAACTGTGATGGAAAGAGTTTCGCTCAATAGATAGGATCTTCATAGATGTTTTGAGGGAGTCTGCAGGAAATGAGTTTTGGGCAAAATGTTTTTTAATCTGTAGTTACACGATAATAGCCATGAACCTTAAGAGTCAGCCTGGTATGTATTAGCTGAGTTAATATTACCAGCAACTTATTCCTTTCATTTTATGACTTTATATCACATTATAACTCTGGCTTTCTCTACTGTCTTTTGTGTATTCATCTCTTTTCTTTTGTATGGTTCTATTCTTCTGTTGCCTCCTCTGCTACAGAAACTACCAGGGGCCATAGAGGTAATAGAATATTGTTTCAAATTTAACATTTCCTTGAGATAAAATTTCTGTGTTGCTTGCTTTAAAGAATGTATTTTAAAAGCACTATTCTTTCTTAAAATAGTTTTATTTAGACAACATCATAGCAATTGCATCTAGAAATTTAAAATGTTCAGCATAGTAGAAATTGTTGAGAGAGGAAACAATTCCACACCCTCCAACAGACACCTCCAAAGATAAGTAGACCTTATTGAAGAAATTGAATTTATGTTTTTAAACACTGTTCTTTACCTAGTATCTAAATAATTCTGCATTCTCAGAAAACATTTAAGTGTTTTATTTGTCATCCTATTGAATCTTCTCATCTATAAAGTGTGTGTTGTTATTTTCACTTTATGTATAAGGAAACTGAAGCTCAGGAAAGTGAATGAACTTTTCTGGCATCAAACAACTATTCAGTGAAGAAAGCATTTCAATGGACATCTTTCTGTCTCTGCATTACCCAAGTGCCTCTCTTTAATCCTCCTAAAGTCCGTATGAACTTGGTATTAAGCCCCATTTACAGACTAGAAAACTAGTGAGAGAGAGACAGAGTTACACGCCAATAACCCCATGAACCACCCCCCTACAATTTTTTTTTTTAAAAGTGATGTGTTGGTAACCTTTATTAAAGTATACCTGAAGGAAAATGTCCATTTGTGTTTCAAATTTAAAAAATAATTCAATATATAAGAAAGTTTTCAAAGAACTCTATCCTATGCAGGGGCCCAGGATTATATCAAATTTAATGAACAGTTGAAACAAAGATGGCAGCAGGGGAGAAAGTTTGGATTATCACAAATAAATGAATTGTTTAGTTTACTCAAAGAAAAAGGAAAAGCAAAAGAGAGGATAGGTCCAAATGTTGTCAAATTAAACAACGACAAAGTGAGGTTGATTCCCCATGTTGTCTAAAGTAAATGACCATATCACCTTGACTGCTTATTTGGGAATAACAAAATCACATGCTCATGAATGTATTTATCCATATGAATTAAGTATTGAAAATATTAAGCTTACCACAATATTTCATGCTAACAAATAATAGGAAAATCAGCGTGTTTTTCTTTTCTCTGGTTTTTATGTTACCTTTTTGTGTTTTTATTTGCATTGACTTAAGACCTTGTGGATCCCACCAAATGACTGGATTGAAATGCTAATGGCCGAGCGGGGTGGCTCACACCTGTAATCACAGCACTAGATCACCTGAGGTCAGGAGTTCAAGACCAGCCTGGCCAACATGGTGAAACCCTGTCAGGTGCCTGTAATCTCAGCTACTCAGAAGGCTGAGGCAGGAGAATTGCTGGAACCCGGGAGGTGGAAGTTGCAGTGAGCTGAGATTGCACCATTGCCCTCCAGCCTGGGTCGACAACAGTGAGACTCCGTCTCAAAAAAAGGAAAAAGAAAAATGCAACTTTTCTTTGAGATTGGGAGGTGGAAATGGGATCAGTGGGGTATTTTATTTTTATCTGTCATTACAAAACAAGAGCTTTATATACAATAGTTATTTCTCATAGTTGTTTCATAAGAAACTCACAGAAAGCAATTTATTTAGGGCAGTTTTCATTGCAAATAAATAATGATTTTGGCTATTCATGTTGAAAAAGGGTAAAAGGACATTTGGCACATACAAAATAATTTTTTAAAAAAGAAAGAACAAATTCTAAAACTTGTGGAAAAATATTTCGATACATATGTATTGACAGAGTTAAAATACAAAACTTGGGAAAGTAAGAATTTAATTTAATTGTACATAAGTTGAATTCCCCAAATAGGTAAGCCTTTAATATTGGCATTAATAGGTTGCTCTGGGGAAAAGGAAAAAGGAGTAAAGGAGGAAGAACAAGCATGAGAAACAAATGATACTAATTCCCAAGTCATTTATAATCTAGCAAGGGAACAATAATACTCCCCTCAATAATTTAAACATATGTATCACTTAACCTTTTAAAATTATCTTGTCATGCCATGCTGCCCTATCAAAAACCATGAGTGACAGGCCGGACACTAATTATGTTTTTCCCCCAGTTTATGTATGAGAAGGGGATGGGAATCTTGAGAGATGTTACATGAGGGGCTTAGGTCACTCAGCAGAAACACAGGACAGAACAGAGACTTTTCCCCTCTTTGCATTTCAAAGGTTATAAATGGTATAGAGGAATTTAACCTATTTGGAATGTTCACACACTCAGAGCCTTCCCTCTGTCTTTGAAATCTCTCATCTGTCCTTTCTTCTTTCTCCAAGCATGCAGGATCTTCAGAATCTTCAGAGAAACATAAAGACAACTGGGGCAGAGTGGTAATAATTTTTGTTTTCGCTGATGAAACTAATGCAAAAATATTTGGGAAAGCAATGAAAGTTGAGTAAAAGGAGGAAGTTTGATTATTGATCATATCCACAGCAGCAGAGGTAGATCTTTTTAGAGTCTGCTTTACATCTTGCAGTAAGACAAGGATATTGGCAGGTCTGCTGAGGATACACAGGATAGATGGTGTTGCTCCTAAAGTTCATGTCCACCCAGAACCTCATAACAGGGCCTTACTTGAAAATAGGATGTTTGCAGATGTAATTAGGTAAGATGAGGCCATACTGGTTTTGGATGAGGATGAAATCTGTTGACTAGTTTCCTCGTAAGGGGAGGGGAGAACACATGGAGACATACACACACACACACATACATACATACATACATACGTACATACATACACACATATGCAGGGAAGAAGGCCATGTGAAGGTGGAGCTGGAGATGGGAGGGAAAAAGACACAAGACGAGGGATGCAAAAGATTTCTGAGAGCCATCAGAAGCTAGGAAGTGCCAAGGGCAGATTTCCCACTAGAGCCTTCAGAAGGAGCATTGCCCCACTGAAACCTTAATTTCAGACTTCCAGCTTCCAGAACTGCCAAGGATTGAATATCTCTTGTTTTAAGCCACCCAGTTTGTGGTACTTTGTTATGGCAGCGCTAGAAAATACATGGAAACTAGAAAGAAGAAAAGCAACAAGATCCTTCACCATTTTCAGAAAGTATACTTAACTGAGGAAAAGTATAGGAGGGAGGAGGGGATATGGGAGGAATAGGTGTGGGAATGGTTAGTAGAGGAAATTGCCAAAGAGAGAAATCTTATTTATCAGGTGACTCTAATGTTCCAAGCTCTCTATCTGTCCTTTTACATGTATTTTCTCTCTTGATTTAACCACAACCCTGTGATATAGAAAATTTTGACACCATTTTGTACATTAAGACTTAGAGAGACTAGTGTCTGGGTCAAAGTCACAAACAAATAAATGACAAAATCAAGAATCAAATCCATGTTTCCTGATTATTAGACTGGTGTTACTTTGCCTTAAGCCTGTAATTAAATAATCCAAGAATGTAGTAAATATTTCTTCCCTTGAGACTTTAAAAACAAGTCACGACACAGTAATAGGGAGCTCTCAGGAGGAATAGTTCTCTCTGGGCAGAGAGATGAAGTTTGATATCCTAATAGATCTTTTCCAAGTCTAATTATGCTCACTCTGTGAAAGGCGCTGGCTAAATGCAAGTTCATTATCATTTTATTCTAAGTTAACTGGAAAACAAGATTGATTGACATGCTGGAGGTATTCAACATTTATATGCAGGAAATTTAGGAGACTTTAAACACATTCAAAAAGGCTTTTCTTAAGATAGCTCATGCTGCTTTTTACAGTGAAATACTCTGCACCAAAACAGATGCTTTCTAAAATTTCATACCGCTGCTCTTCCCAACAGATGACCTTAATGTGCTCAGGACCATGGAGGCAATGGCAGCCTTCCTAACTTGGAAGGGAAAAGAAATACTGTGGCTTCTTATCTATTCCTCCGTGTCCACAGATAAATTTTTGCTCATTTTCATTGCTTTTCAAATGTTCCGATTCTGACCTCTATTCACAATGGAAAATAGGAACACTATACATTTTGATTGTAGTTTAAAGTATCTTCATGTAGTTTGTTTAATCCAATGCCTAGTACAACCTGCAATACTCATGTTTCAGAGAAGGAAGAGCATCCCACAATGAAAGTGACTTTGTGCAAAATCACATATGATGAGAGTTAGGATTGAATTCATAGCGTTGTAAGGCTATCTCAGTCCAAAAAAAAAAAAAAACTCCTCAGTTTTAACCAAAATAAGTTTAACATTTACTTTGGTTGTTTCTATGCAAAACAAAAGAAAACAAAACTTGGTAAAACTATGGAGTCTGCAAATTGTGTTTGTTATCCCCCTTTGGTGTTTCTGAGATGTATTCTAGGTATGTAGAGCTCTTTTAAGAGAAAACACATCCCAAGAAGAATAGATTCTTAAAAAGTATATCTTCTTGAAGGAGTGATATACCTCTCACCAGTTCATTCAGGATAATGATGTTTGCAACAATAAGTTTTGTTCCCTTCGTGTATATAACTCTCTTTAATATTATTAATTCCTGAATAATACTTGAAGTAATTATTTTTTGGGGGGAGTTTTTAAAGTCAGTAAAATAATTGTAAAATTGCCATCTTTTTGTACCCCTCATCTTGATATGTAAAACAATTTCAAAAATCAATATGTAGGTATACTTGAAGTGTGGTTTGGACACTAGTTATTGATCCCTACCTGCGGTCCATGAAGCTCTAACCTAGAAGTGAATGGGAGACTTTCTGTGCTGATTCAACAAATTTCCTGAGTACAAAAGAAGCCGTTATCTTGAAAAGCATCCTAGATTTCTCTCATTTGTTTTCCAACACCGATCATTCAGTCCTATGGATTCTACTGCCTGAATATAAGTCAAGTGTACCAGTTCTGCCCATCACTCTGAACCAATGCCATTCAAGCCACTGTTTCTCATTTGGGCCAATGAAACTTATCTCTAGACCTCCTGTTTGTCATCCACCCTACACAGTGCTATCAGAATGCCTATAAAGCTCAAATATGATCACATCACTCAGGTGACTACAATCATTCAACAAAGCCCAGTGCTCTCAAGATAAAGTCCTTACTCCATACTATATGCAGGTCCCTTCATGTTCTGGCTCTAGTCCCAACTCTCTCTTCTCCATCCTCTCTATTCTGTCTTCTTTCCACTCCTCCCTGTCATATACATATTCTACCACTCATTGCTATAGCAGTACTGGCTATTTTCAATTCAAGGAAGACTATGGGCTCCCAAATCTCTAGACTTTCATACATACTGATTCATAAAATATTTATGGGTTAGGCACGGTGGCTCATGCCTGTAATCGCAGCACTTTGGGAGGCTGAGGTAGGTGGATCATGAGGTCAGGAGTTCAAGACCAGCCTGGCCAAGATGGTGAAACCCCATCTCTACTAAAAATACAAAAATTAGCTGGGCGTGGTGGCAGGCACCTATAATCCCAGCGACTCAGGAGGGTGAGACAGAGAATTGCTTGAACCCAGGAGGCAGAGGTTACAGTGAGCTGAGATCACACCACTGCACTCCAGCCTGGATGACAGAGTGAGATTCCATCTCAAAAAAAAAAAAAAAAAAAATTGTCCAACTGTGAAAGTTGCACCTGTTCTTCATGTTTTAGCAGAGGGGTCATTTCATCTATGAAGATTCTCTGAGTACTGACCCCAACCATGGCTCTTGCTACATCTTGAAGCATTTCATTATCTGAGTGTCCTCCTATGCTGTCCCATACAATCTTAGTTACTATCTGGTTAGTTGGTCCTTGCCACAATCACCTGTCATTTAGATCAGCGGTCCCCAAACTTTTTGGCGCCAGGAACCAGGTTCGTGGAAGATAATTTTTCTACAGACTAGGGTGGGGATGATTTCGGGATGAAACTGTTCCACTTCAGATCATCAGGCATAAGATTCTCATAAGGAGCACACAACCTAGATCCCTTGCATGCTCAGTTCACAATAGGGTTCATGCTCCTATGAAAATCTAATGCTGCTGTTGATCTGACAGCAGGCAGAACTCAGGTGGTAATGCTCGCTTGCCTACCACTCACCTCCTGCTGGGCTGCCTGGTTCCTAACAGGGGGCTTGGGGACACCTAATTTGGAATATAATAGTCAAAATTTTAGAGATATGGCTTGTTGTCTTTTTCACTGTAGCATCTAGAAGGTACTGAATAAATATTTCATGGATGTGTGAATGAATGACTAAAGTAGCATTTCTCAGGCAAATAATGTTTCATGTTAGAAATATAACAAATAAGACATACACCTTAATATGTATGTAATTATTTACTTTGGACAGAAAGATATCCCATACACTTATATTCTTTTAGCTAGATCTCCTTAGCTATTCTTTATTGTCTCCTCCTTCTCAATTCCATCTGTTCAGTACTGAATGTTATTCAATCCCCTACTTTATATGTTGAAACCCTAATCCCCTATTGTGATGGTATTTGGAGGTGAGGCTCTGGGGAAGTAATTAGGTTTAGATGAGATTATGAGAATGGGGCTCCAAGACAGGATTAGTTTTTTATAAGGGGAAGGAAAGATGAGAGTTCTCTGTCACTCCCTCTCCACTATGTGAGGGTAAAGCAAGAAAGTGTCCGTCAGCAAGCCAGAAAGAGGGCGCTCACCAATAACCAAATCTGCTGGCACCTTGAACTTGAGTGTCCAGCCTCCAGAACTATGAGAAGTAAATATGTACTGTTTAAGCCACTCAGTCTTTGATGTTTTGTTATAGCAGCCTGAGCTGACTGAGACACCATCCAATGACCCTAATACCACTCTTAGAGTCTCTGCACATCTGTGAGAATAAAGGCCTCTGAAGCTGGGGGAATGCCTGTGAATAGATGAGGCTGTTTTTAAAAGGGTGCTGTTATATTCTTTGAGAGGAGCCATTTTCTCATCCTTACTCAAGCTGTCAAAGTTTGACAGTTACGGTCAAAGGAGTACCTGGAGCTTAAAAAGGTCAGGGAAGTAAGGCATGGCCAAATTATTCCCAGATGGCTGAGGCTTGTCAATGTTATTTGAAATAATCTACACTGAATATGCCAGAGATGAGTGCCTGCTTTAGCCCAGGAAAGTTCTATGTTCATCATGACTTCTGCATCACTCCCTACCTCTTCTTGTTCCACACATCTCTCAAAGAAGACACCTACCTACTCACTTGGCACTCCTTCTAGACCTTTTCAGGATTCCCATAGGGCAAGCCTAGCTTATAAAAACTTCAACTTCTTAATTAGAGGAAAGGTTGTGAAGAAAAAGTCAAAGTTTTCTGGTGTTTAAATCGTGTCTCCGCCTACAGTCTCTCTAGGTGAGGAGGGAAGAATTGAACAAGGAAGAATCCCTGGCTTAATTTGACTTCTCATTTAAACAAAGATGAAAGACTCTTTGCATTACGTTATTGATTTGTTTAACATGCATCTACCATGTGCCTACTCCATCTCAAACTCTGGGCTGGAAACTAGCTCCTTCCCTTGAGGATCTCACAAGCCAAGTGGGGATAGGGTAGGCAGGCAAGTGACAGAAAACAAACTATTAAACAGCATTAATAAGTGACTACAATTATTGGAACTGGTTCATTCATTAAATCAATAAGCATTTTCTCAGTATATACTAGGTATTTGGCTATGTGTTGAAAGCTGATATACTAAAATAATAAATGTAACATTTGTGCTCTCAAGGGACTTTCAGCTCTCAGTGGAAAAAACCATGCTGAGATAAACAATGAGATTACAAAAAGAAACATATTAGAAAGGAATGAATATTTCATTTTCTAGGATGTCTGTTACTGACAGATCCATCTTGTCCCTGGATCCATCCTGTCTCTGGGGCAATAAATTGCCTATATACATTAAAATGATCTGATTATTGTCCTCTTTGGCAAACTATATGTTGCTCACACCACCTACACAAGGAAAAGGAAAACAGAAAAATATAGACTGGATTCCAGGAGTGCTGGATTCTGCTTTCCACTTGTTTTCTACATACCTGTGTGGCCTTGGAGGACAACTTGGATAGATAGCATTTTAGTGGTAGGGCTGGTGTTCAGAAGCAGAATATCATTCTCTGGGGGGAACTGCTGACAGCAAGCCAAGACCTCAACCTTGACAGAGTTAGATTATGGATACAACATTGCCTCCCCAAGTGGTTCCAAAACCCAGCTGCAGATTAGTATCATCAGGGAGCTCCTTAAAAATAGTGTTTCTGGGTGCATCCCCAGAAATATTAACTCAATTATCTGTGGTGAGATCAGGAATCTGTATTTGAACACATTTCCTGAGGTAATTCTGATATACTGCTTGCTTGGTATCACCAACCTTCAGTTCGAACACTGAACTCCGGCATGTCATCAAAGACCCTTCACAATCTGGCCCCAGCCTATCTCTAGAGAGAGGTTGCTTGTCATTACCATGCCACAATCCCGCCTCAGCAATCATAAACAACATGCACTCCAGACTAACTTTTGCTTTCCAATGCTTATACACATGCCATTTCCTCTCTTATCTTTCTTTTGTTGTTTTTTTGAGATGAGTCTCACTCTGTTGCCAGGCTGGAGTGCAGTAGTGCGATCTCAGCTCACTGAAACCTCTGCCTCCCAGGTTCAAGCAATTATCCTGCCTCAGCCTCCTGAGTAGCTTGGACTACAGGCACCTGACACCACGCCCGGCTAATTTTTTTGTGTTTTAGTAGAGACGGGATTTCACCATGTTGGCCAGGATGGTCTCAGTCTCCTGATCCACCCCACTCAGCCTCCCAAAGTGCTGGGATTACAGGTGTGAACCACCATGCCCGGCCTCCTCTCTTGTCTTTCTAAGCACATCAAACCATGGTTTCTTATTTCAAGACATAACCCAGGTTTCTCTTGCTTGAGAAACCATTCCTGACTCCTTGAACCAGCCTTAACTGGCTCCTTCTCTGTGCTCCAACAGTACTCTATTTAAATATAGAGTGTAAATATAAGTTTCTTCCAACTAGGTCACAAGCACCATGGCTATTTTTATTTATCTCTGTATCAAAATATCTAATAACTATTCTAGAAATATATTAGGTATTCAATAAGTAATTATTAAGTGAATGAACAGAAACTAGGGAGTGTGTGCAATTATCAAAACTAGGACATAACATCACAGCAGGAATTAAGTCACAGAAGGTCTGATTTAGTACCAATCTTGGGAAAATTGGGGCACTGGATAGTGTTTTCAGACAGGATAGAACCAGTTATGCGCTCAGTCTTTTATTAAGATATCCATCAAATAAGATTTAATAATATTTAGATGTGATTTTTAGCTGTCGTACCCCAACTAACTCTTTGCAAACATGATCTGTACTGTGAAGGATTGTTCCAGATTCTGGGCATAGTCAAATGGCCTCAGAAAGTGGAAAAAAAAAAAAAAGAGAGAACAGGCGCTATCCAGGTCATTAAGTGGAAAGTATGTCATCTATATTTGTAAGTTTGCCTAAGTTCTTATTGAATGTTTTTTTTTCATCTTCTTTCTCAACTAGGTTTGGGATGCTACTGTCCCCTCCATATAGCATGGTAATGCTCACTTGCCTACCACTCACATCCTGCTGGGCAGCCTGGTTCCTAATGGGGGGCTTGGGGACCCCTAATTTAGGATCTCCTGATGAAGAGATGAATATAAAATTGGCCATAGCTTTTTGATATGAAAATCTTACATTCAGGTAATTCTGGAGTTCAAGGCATCCCTGAAATGGTATATAGCAAACAAAACAAAACAAACAAACAAACAAACAAAAACCAATATTAGCTTTATGTGGGTATTAAGACTTTTTTCCAGTATACCACACAATAAGATAAGAGAAAGTATTTTATTGTATAGAATATACTAATTAATACCCAGAGCCAATTAGGATTTCAAAAGACAGGTCTTCAGTAGAACAATCCCCAGAATCATAGCACCATTTTTCTTCATAATATATATTCAAGGTATGTGTATTCATGTGGATGTAGTTTAAGAAGGGCTGCCTTGAAGGCAAGGGTTCTAGGCATTCATTCTAAAACTACCACCAGGTCCTCATACAAAATTAAGCTCTCTGGTTAAATACTGATGGGCTTTTACGTCAGTAACATTGGCTAATTCTCTTATCAATCTAGGTATCCAGTTGTTCCAGAAAAGTTGCATCATCCACTTATAATTCTTTCTCTTTTCCTCTAATATAAAGCATTATATCTATAAGCCTATGTGAGTAGATATAGATACATTTTATTTCATAAGGTACTGATGACAAATTTATAATTCAAGCTTTGTGTCAAGAAGTTGAAAAGTAGGTTTAGGGGAATATTGGCAATTGACCAGCAATGTTCTGTTCTGTGTGCAAGAGATGGGAAATATTGGCTCATATTATAGATACTTGTGATCCCATGCACAAACAAACCCATAACACACTCACATTATAGATATTTACTCTACAGCATTAGACTTTGTTGTTACTGGGTATCATCAGATTCAGCTTGGGAACCTGAGTCACAGACTGGGAAAATCACGCTCAGTCTTTGACTGCTTTTTAACTCAAAAAGCCATTAAAAAAATCATTGAGTCAATCAAGCAAAATATCTCATCTGATGTGGGCAAAGTGAGAAATACAATTTTATGATATCTTAAAAATCAGTTAGCATATAAATAAAGCTTTTACATTTCCAAAGGCATCATGAAGATAATGGAAACTTGAGTTGGTTCCAAAAGAAAAAAAAAATGAGGCAAAAGATAATTTATTTTGTTTGATAAAAGTATAAAATAAAAGTTTTGGTGATTTTAACCATACTAGTGTCAACTAAAAGAGATTAAATAAGGACAGGTGATAGATTTTGTGAGCATAAGTTTATTATTATGTTGTTGTTTTCTAGTAATTTTAAAAGACCATTAGCACTAAACAATAGTGATCCTATGCTCTAGCAAATTGAAGTATAATTAGAATTAATGTGAGTAATAAATTAATTAGCTCTGAAATAAAAACACTGCCAGATGCAGTGACTCATGCCTGTAACCTCAGCACTTTTGGAGTCCCGGGCAGGTGGATCACCTGAGGTCAGGAGTTTGAGACCAGCCTGGCCAACATGGCAAAACACTGCCTCTACTAAAAATACAAAAATTAGCCAGGCATGGTGGTGCACGCCTGTAGTCCCAGCCACTCGGGAGGCTGAGGCAGGAAAATCACTTGAACCCGGGAGCCAGAGGTTGCTGAGATCATACCACTGCACTCCAGAAAAAAAAAAAAGAACAAACAACAACAACAACAACAAAAAACAAAAAAACCCCCACCACCATTAGGTATACATTGGTAAGATTATTTTAAATAATCTCAAAGTACTCATAGGCTCATTCATTCATTTATTCATTTTATAATATGCATAAGCATGCCAAATTTCAACATTTTGATATAAAATATTTAAATATATTTAACAGTAGCCCTGTAAATATATATTAAGGTTTCACCCATTTGCCAGCTTGCCAGTTAGTACAATAAAAATTAGATTGTGAAGTGTTCTATGATTACTTAGTAAATGTATGAGGTGCATCTTTACAGAGATCTCTTGATTCTCAAGCCCAGACATTATTCCACATTGTTTTTCAGAACGTTTTATCCATATACATTTCTTGGGAAGATTCTCTTAGCATAAAACCTTTGAAAATCCATCATGAATTATCTTGGGATGACAAGTCTTTAAGATGTAATTTAATTGTGCTGTTTGTTTCCAATGATTGAAACAGTTGAATTAAAGAGAGGTAAAGCTTTTATTAAATGTCTCTTGTTAATGCATAATAAGTTAGAGCCAGTAGAGTTATGCAACTTGACTCAAACAACATTTTTCCATGATTTTATCTTATAAGTAATGTATTCTCTAAAATAATTTCCTGTCAGGGCCCCTCTAGCTCCCAGTCCTCTCAGCTTTGTTCTCCAGACACAGAGCCTGCCGACTCCCCTTTCAAAATTAACACCATTCCTGTATCTTGAACCAATCTTTTCTTTTGTGAGGAAATTAAAACAGCCTTAGTTGAGTAATTCTTTTAACATAGTATAAAGTCATCTTTTCAGAGGGGAAATGTCATGTGTAGTAGAACCAAATAAACTTAGGTTTCAATACCAACTTGCACTTAAAAACTGTGTATCCTTGAATGAGTTATTTTTATTGCATCAAATCTATTTTCCTCTATGATAATCCTTATATAAAATTAAGAAAACATCACGTAGCAAGTGCTGAATAATGTTAGTTGCCCTCCCTAAATATTTTCACCACAATTATCAAATAAAATCATCATCAAGTTGTATTGTTCCGTGGTTACTTCCTAGATGATGATCAGCTTAGTATTACCCAATAACACCAAGTTTTGAATCTAAAGAAGCCTCATAGAATTCTGGAGCAGAAGTGTCCCGATAGGCATGGAGCCTGTGCCCCACTACCTGCAGATGTACCTCCCAGTTGTGTTCTTCCCAGTGCTCTGCTGATTGGATGCCTCTGTGTCGTTAGACCATGTGCAGGGCCTGATGCAGGAAAGAGCTGAGAACCTTCCTTTAGTGGAAAGCCCATGTTGTGGGGGCATAATGAGTAAGAGACAGAGGGCAAGACATGGCAGCTCACACCTGTAATCCCAGCACTTTGGGAGGCCAAGGCAGGTGGATCACTTGAGGTGAGGAGTTCGAGACGAGCCTGGCCAACATGGTGAAACCCCATCTCTTCTAAAAATATAAAAAAAAATTATCCAGATGTGGTGGTGGGTGCCTGTAATTCCAGCTACTTGGGAGGCTGAGGGACAAGAACAGCTTGAACCCAGGAGGTAGAGGTTGCAGTGAGTCAAGATGGCACCACTGCACACTAGCCTGGGTAACAGAGTGAGACTGTGTCTCAAAAAAAAAAAGAAAAAGAAAAAGAAAAAAACTGCCTGAAATGAGATTAGACAAGTTTGCAGGAGCCAGGCCATATAGGTATCCACAGAAAGGAGATCAGATTTCACTCTGAGAGTAGTAAGACACAGTGGCAGAGTTTTAAGCGAGAAACAAGATTTGATAAAATTATTTCTCTGGCCTTGTGATTACGGGATTTGGATCAATTCATGCAAATGATTCAAGCCCCAGTTTCCACATCACAAAAGAGAGATGCTGATATCCCAGCAACTCAACCAACAGGATAATGGTGAAAATGACATCATGTAATACACATGAAAAGCCTTACCAACATGTGTAAAGTCGTATAAGTGAAAGTCTTAATAATAATAGCTACTAGAAGCCATGTTTTGGCAAAATGTTATCAACCCGAAAGAAGAATATGGGCTCATTAATTATTTGCTTACTTTATTTTATTCAGTTGACTTTCTGTTACATAACATGAAGTTTGGAGGAATAGATTTCTGCTACTTGTGACACTCTTTAATCCTGGTTGGAGGTGGAGCAGAGGGCAACCCCACCCGGAGCATACAAATGGTTAGCGCTAACACTGAACATAGGACCACTGGGGGAGGGAGGGCTTATGCTTGGTAACATCACAAATGGGCTGTTTTTTTGAAACTGCTAGAAGAATAGGAATTCCCTCTTTGCTGCTATTGCTTGGAAACAAGACAAAGGAGAGCCTGTGGCTTTCTCTTATTTATTTATTCATTCATTTATGTGAGCCTTTGTTTATTCCACAAACTTTTTTTTTTTTTTTTTTTTTTGAGATGGAGTTTCACTCTTCTTGTCCAGGCTGGAGTGCAATGGTGCGATCTCAGCTCATTGCAACTTCTGCCTCCTGGGTTCAAGCGATTCTCCTGCCTCAGCCTCCCGAGTAGCTGGGGTTACAGGCATGCACCACCAATCCCGGCAAATCTTGTATTTTTAGTAGAGACGGGGTTTCTCCATGTTGGTCAGGCTGGTCTCAAACTCCTAACCTCAGGTGATCCGCCTGCCTTGGACTCCCAAAGTGCTGGGATTATAGGCACAAAAACTTTATTGAGCATCTAGTTGATACCTTAGACCTTCTTATTTCACAGCTGTAAAAGAGGAGCTAATAACAATAATATTTATATACACATTTCAATATATTCCAGGCATTGTACTAAAAGTTTGCATGTATTATTTTGTTTAAATTTTCTAGTATCCCCTAATGTAAAGAGATATTATAACTAGGCACATTTTATATGTGAAGGATTTCAAGGTCTTTGGCCTGTCCAGATCACTTGGCTAGTAAGCATCAGAGCTGGACTTGAACTTGGCTCTATTTGACTTGAAAGCCAAAGCTCTGAACCACTACATCACACTGGCACCAACCATAGTACAAGAGAAGATGAAAGGTGATAGCACATGTCACATGTTCTAGCAGTTTGGCATCTAGCCCCTCCAGCTTGTTAGAGCATGTCTTTTTCATCCTGACTTTTCCTGATTTCTGCAGCCAGGTAAACAAACAAACAAACAAAAACAGTTTAGCTTTCCAGTTAATTTTCTTATGGTGCAAAAATATTTAATGGGAAAAGTATAAATAGATAAAAAAAACTCACAATTCCATGGTATCCCATTAGCTTAGCTTGAGTTCCCAAGGAGTGTTTAGAATGGTGGTGGCCAGCAGGATCTGGGGCCAGACAGCCTTTGTTTGAATCCTGGCTCTATATCTTACTAGCTGTATGACCTTTTTTATTTACATTCCCTGAGTTCAGAGATAATATTATATATCTCATAGAGTTGTTATGAGGATTAGTTGTGTTTATAATTCAAAGTTCTTGGTATAGTGATTGACACATAGCTAGTGCTGAATAAATGTTAATTATTAACATAGCTATTATTTATAAGGGAGGAGACCACCCCTCATATTGTCTTATGCCCAATTTCTGCCTCCAGAGAAAGAAGAAGTAAAAACTAAAAGGCAGAAATGAAATCCACAGGCAGATAGCCCAGCACCGTGCCCTGGGCCTGGTAGTTAAAGATTGACCCCTGACCTAATCGGTTATGTTATCTATAGATTACAGACATTGTATAGAAAATCACTGTGAAAATCCCTGTCCTGTTCTGTTCCGTTCTAATTACCGGTGCATGCAGCCCCCAGTCACGTACCCCCTGCTTGCTCAATCGATCACGGCTCTCTCACACGGACCCCCTTAGAGTTGTAAGCCCTTAAAAGGGACAGGAATTGCTCACTCGGGGTGCTCAGTTTTTGGAGACGTTGAGTCTGCCGATGCTCCCAGCTGAATAAAGCCTTTTCCTTCTACAGCTCGATGTCTGAGGGGTTCTTGTCTGCAGCTCATCCTGCTACATTTATGTGATAACAATGCTGTTTCAGTGGGTTCTAGTCTTAAGTTTGAAAGCAGTAAATAATTTCTTCTAGATATTATATTTACCCACATTTAATCCTCAACTTCATAAACTTGAAATCTCACCTGCGGAATGACTATTCTTCTATAGCCCAAATTCATGTGTTCTTCAGCCATGTGATAAGTTGTCATTTGATGAACATTGACTCTGGTGCTGTGGTCACCGTACAGATCTCGGTAGGAAGATTCACTGGGAAGGTGGCCTGCACTCACAGAGATGGCATCTTAGAAATGATGGCAGAGGGAGATAATCACATCACCAACCTGCTGGCTACAGAGACTGCAAGTCTGCAAAAACAGCTGTGAGGATGGGGAGAAGTGATGCTGATGCTGATAAAGTCCTCTGATGGGAAACAACCTGGTTTCCACCTGCCATGGTGTGGTTTCTTTGATGTTTCTCATTATCTACTATCTAGATCCATTTGGCTGACTACCTTGTTCCCATTCTGGTGCCTAGAATTTTTGGCTCCAATAAATAGACCACTGAACAACAACGATTCCATGAAATTTGCAGCAATCTGGTAAAAACTCGATGCAGAGCTGTGGGTTGGTGGAAACGCCTCTTCACACTAAAGGAAGAAAAACCTAAGATATGCTTCATGACCATGATCGTTTCCCTTGCTGAGGTTGCTTACGTGGGACAGCAAGTCCACAACCTGCTTCTCACCTGCCTGATAGTGACTTCCTTACTATTGCTTCCTGGACTAAACCAACATGGAATCATTTCGAAGTACATTGGAGTGGCCAAAAGGGAGCTAACCAAACTTCTCAAACAAAAAGAATAGAAAAATGAATAATTCATCTGCTTTATTCAGTGTGATTAATGGAGCACCCATTGCCCCTGGGAATGGTTTCTGCTGTACTATCTGGATACTAAAATGTTATGGAAGTAGCTCTTTGCTCTCCCTTACTCTGCTCTTAGTTAATAGAAATTCAGGCTCGCCAAGTAATGCTTTGTGCATAGTGTCTTCATGTTGCGTATAGTTGAGTGTGTTCTTACCAGTTGGCCTCATGGACAACTCATTAGTGTGTATGACTTGTTTTGATTTTTCTTACTCAGGTTAATTGAATTTTGGCTTTTAGACAACTTCCTTTTTATAGTGGTGAACTGTACTAAAGGGCAGTTCAAGTGACTCTGGATAATTGTTCAAGTTTGTCTTTGCTTTTGCTAGATACAAGGTCTGTGGCTACAGGAAGCTGGTTCTACTATCTGCTTCCATAGCCTGCTTAAAAAACTGTCTGACTTTGTGAATATAGAGACCAAGTTTACCACTTCTGATGAAGAGACCAATTAAGATTCATTCCTTATTCTGTTTCTTTCCCATGGGAGAAGAGTCCCCATGGAATAAAATGAAACTGATTCCATGCACTAGTATGAGTAGGTTTCTCCCTTGTGCAAAGCTTAGCAATTTGTAGGAAACTTTGATCTTTTTGTCCATAAAAAGGAATGCCTGACAGGCTTAAGCTTTAGTCCCTTTGCACTTAGACTTGAAGTTAGTAAATCCTTAAAGACTTTTTAATAGCAGACTTCCAAAAGATTGCATTTAGGATTTCTAGCATACTTTTAATTTCAGATTTTCAACTGATTTTAGCTATAGTATACAGTAGGTTAAGACTCATGTCTATGACTTTAAGACCAGCAGTAAAGGACAGCAGTCTTCCGTGTTTAGGCAAAATTCATTTCAGTAGACGATAATCTTATCTGACTAATTTTTGAGACCAGAATAAGCCTTTTAAGGTAAACCTCAAAATTCTCGCTTTATGGTAATACTGGCCATTTTAGTCCCCTGGGTTTGGCATGGGAGATAGTGACTACACTGGAGTCTGACTTTTTTCCTAGAGATTTCTCCCTGAAAAATACAAGGGCTGTTGGTGAGAGCAGACTTGAGGTGATGATAGTTGGCCTCTGGTCTACAAAGATTTTGTAACTCCTAGGAAAGTTTCTCATAATCATTCTTAACTTCTCAGTAGCTAGAAATTTAGAGTAGTTGAAATCTGTAGGAATGAAATCTGTAGGAATGAGAGCCAAAAATGTGACTGACTTGTTAATCAGTTCTTAAACTGATTAACAGGCTGTAATATAGTTTTGTGAATTTATTGCACCGATGTTGTACCTTGTGGTATATCTGTGACTATTAAATGAGTGTTGTTTTCGCCTCTTTAATATTGCTGTAAACAGTGGTGCCTATTGTAGCATATGTTTCATTTTTTAAAAAAATATTTCATAAGAAAGCTACCTTAATTTTACCTTACTTTAATTGTAAATAAGCCTGTCTTCCTATCTGGATTTTTTTGTGTATACGTGTTCTACTGCATGTATACACATTTTTTTGTGTATACATGTTCTACATAATTAACTACTTTTGCAGTTTTAATCCTTTATTATTTCTTCTACTTTGTTTTGTGTAAAAGGGGAAAAAATAAAAAAAGTCAGAATCTTAAAAAATAAATAAATTAATTAACATTGACTTTACATACCAGAACGCACAACAGGTGCTAGAATATAAAAGAAGTTGAATCTCTGCCTTCAAGAGGTACAGGGTTTAATGAACTCTGGGTGACCATTTAGTTATTTGTCAAGCCTCTGTGAAGGGTATTCTGACATTGAGTGGCAGTTGCAGTAGTTGACCTTCGGACTCTATATTGGAGAGTCCCCTTTGTGTTTTGTTTGTTTTTGTTTTTTCTTCTTTCTATCTCAGGCTATCTGGCAGGCTGGATCAGGCACACAATAAATGAAAGCTTTTATTATTATCTTAGAGAGGCAGCTTAGTAATATGGGAAGAGGTCAGATGTTGGTGCTAGAGATCTGAGTTCAAATCCTAGCTTTATCATTTAGGAGTTGTGACCTTGGATCAGTTATTTCACTTCTTTGAGCCTCTACCTTTATCAAGGAAAGACTCTCTAATGAGGATATTGTGAAGAAAAGTCATGATACTCATGAAGTACCTAGCACAGTTCTGGCACAAAGCAGGGCCCAGCTAAGGCCACCGAGGGATGGCAGCAGCAATCTCAAGCCATAAGGCCACCAGGAGGAGTGGCCTTAGCTGCAGCAGCAGATGTGGCAGCAACTTTCTTCTCTTTGTTTGCTCAGATGCTGCCTTTATAATGGTAATGGAGTATTTTCAAATTCAAAGTCCATTCTAGGATAAAGAAAAATGATAGTGGGTTTCCTTGTAATTAATGGCATTTTTTAGCATTTCAGTCAGATTATAAATAGGATACAAGATGCCTTCTACGGTGAATAACATGTCTTTCTAGTTTTCTAGATTTATGAATTTAGCCCATATGAAATTAATTATTGTGGGTGTATTACATGGATGTGAAACATCTGGAATAATAGGATTTTATTTTTAATAGACCTCTCAGGAGCTCGTGAGAAACATCCTTATAATAGCAACATATGCTGCTAGTTTAATGAGAACCATCACTGACAATTAATGGTTCTTGTGCTTTCAGTAATTTACACATTTTCAAATTTTATATTCTTTATTTTCATCTTTATGGTTTCAGTTTGTGACTTGTTTGAAATTAAAGCCAGAACTCCTTACAGAGGAGAAAAAAAATATTTATTGAGTGTATACTATGTGCCAAGCACTGTGTTATGTATTTTATATATGTGAATGTACATGAACATGAAATTACTTTAAAGCCTGAAAACAATCAGGCCATCTCTTTATTTACAAACAGGAAGCCTGAGGCACGTGAGATTAGTAGCTCATCAATGTGGATGCTCCAGTTAGAATTAAAGGTTGAATTTCTCTGTTCTTTCATTAATAAGAAAAGAAAGTAGAATATTGTAGAAAAGATTCCCTTTTCTATAAATCATATTTCTGCTTTCAATATTCCTTTTAACTTTATACATAACAACCTTCAAGTTATTCCTGGGACATATTGAGCTTAAGCTGATGTGGGCAAGGAGTTGATAAAGATAACTGAATTTAAACTTCTGATGTATTTCAAAACCTAGTCTGTGCTTGGTGCAAGGTCAGTCAAGAGCTATGGGAATATCCAAGAGGTGAATTTTCTGTTTTTCCTTGTTCTCCTGATGCTGAGAAAAGGAATTTTTACTGAGTACTGACTATGCACAATTCGTAGGTCAGCCACTGGATAACCTGGTTCTCTGAAGAGAAAGGTTCAGCCCAGACCCCAAAGCTCACCCTGCTGCTCTTCCCCCACGTTTGGTTCGGATTCTCTCAAATTAAACGTTATTGATGTATTTTAGGAAAATAACAGAAAGTGTACATGATGTGGCCACCAAACCAGAAAATGTGATTAGGGGAAGGAGAATAAATGGTAGGTACGCTGTTTCATGGAGAAGGCAGAATTAGTTCCCTTCATGCTTCATTAACCTGCATTTAGTCATTGTTGCCTTTGTATAAAGATAAAGGCAAAATTCTTATCTCAGTATTCTATCTTATGTCTTCACAACGCTCATATTATTTGAAACAGTCCTGTTCAACTATTTAAAATCTTGAGTATTAATTCTTCCCCTCTTATGAATGTAAGTTCCATTTAGCAGGTACCTTTCCTGTCTTTATTGAACGAATGAATAAATATCTTTATATTCAAACAGGATAAATTCTACCTTATATCATATATTCATTCACTGAATCATTTAAAGAATGTATGTTGTGTGCTGAAGTAGGTATATTCACATAATACACGAACACAGGTACGCACAAATAATAGGCAAATTTGCATTACAAGTGAGGTAGTAAGCTTCAAATAGTGGTTGGACCTCTTCCTTGTTCCATGAACTCGGAAAGCTCCACAGCCTTTCTGAGCCTCTCTCATCACATCTATAAAATGCTAATCTATGCTGGCTTCAGCCTGCCCCAGAAACAGCATGTACTCTGTTGCTTCTGCCCTGACTTATGCCTGGATCACTGATAATCTGGCCTGGTAGAAAGTAGGTGATTTTCTCCTACTAAAACACAGCGTCTAGACACAGCCTGCAGATCGCACACCAGATGCTCCCTTTGCATGTTTATAAGCAAAACTGGGCACTTTCAGGAGCCCCAGGACATGACAGAGATCTGTCCACTATCAGGTGTGATTGTGGGGCTAGACTGGCTGCTGTCTGGGCCCTTGGTTCTCCCTCCAGTCTCCACAGAGAGAGGACCCTGGTCCTCAGACTCTGGTCTGCTGTGGACCTGGCACATAGTAAGTCTGCTAACCCCTTTCCTGGAGTCCAGGCCCTGTGCTTGGCTTTCCAGGTATTACTTTAGTATCTCCAACCTCTATAGGTTGGCCAAACTCCAGATGCCCTAACTCCTTCCATCTGATGCCTTAAATGCTGACATTTCAAGCCAAGCTTAAGTTTTTCTACAACTCTTCTGAATCTCCCAAGTTGAATAGCTGACAGATTCAGCAGAGCTGCGAAAGAAACTTAAGCTTGATCCTCCCTTATCACAACTAGTCTGGTGAATTTCCCTCAGTTACCATACTGTACTCACTACTGTTTCAGTACTATGTAAAGGGGAAAGATGGTTATAAACTGTGGAGCATCTTGTTTGTGTTTATGTGTATTTAGAACAGATCTAACAGGAGTCATTGAATACCCTTGCAAAATAAAGTCCCTTTGAGATGTGAAGAGTGTAATTTGCAAGATCAGTTGCAAACAATCTCCACTAATCATTAAATACAAGGTTCATTCACACCTCAAGTGGGTAGTTTAAGCTTCTAGGGTAAGCTAAATGCAATAAACTGTAGACACATCCTTTCACTAACGACAGAAATTGCCTCATGCTGAACTTTAGCTCAGGATATCCCTACACATGAAGACTGGAGCCACATTATAAAGCTGCTCTGGATTATATATTATGAAGCCCAGAGTGACCTTAAGGGTTGAAGTAGTGGCCGGGCATGGTGGCTCACGCCTGTAATCCCAGCACTTTGGGAGGCCGAGGTTGGTGTATCACCCGAGGTCAGGAGTTTGAGACCAGCCTGACCAACATGGTGAAACCCCGTCTCTACTAAAAATACAAAAATATCTGGGTGTGGCGACGGGTGCCTGTAATCACAACTACTTGGGAGACTGAGGCAGGAGAATTGCTTGAACCCAGGAGATGGAGCTTGCAGTGAGCCAACACCATGCCACTTCACTCCAGCCTGGGCAACAGAGTGACTCCATCTCAAAAAAAAAAAAAAAAAAAGAAAAAGAAAAAAAAGGTCTAAGTTGTAAAGATGCCTAATAAAATATAAAGTTTTCTAAATATATTTTCACTATTCTTTACTGACCCCACTTTCCAAAAAGAAGGGAATAAAGCTATTGAAATGAATAAGGCCAGATTATATTCATCTTATTATTATTATTGTTATCATTTTTTTTTTTGAGACAGAGTCTTGCTCTGTCACCCAGGCTGGAATGCACTGGCGCAATCTCTGCTCACTGCAACCTCCGCCTCCTGGGTTCAAGCAATTCCCTGCCTCAGCCTCCTGAATAGCTGGGATTACAGGCACCCGCCACCACGACCAGCTAATTTTTGTATTTTTAGTAGAGACGGGGTTTCACCATGTTGGCTAGGCTGGTCTCGAACTCCTGACCTGGTGATCCACCCGCCTCGGCCTCTCAAAGTGCTGGGATTACAGGTGTGAGCCACAGCATCCGTCCTCATCTTATTATGTCTTTAGTGAATAAAACTTTGACATATTCCTGCAGCCCAGCGCCATACCTGGCACCAGGCAAGTGCTCAGTAAATGTTGGTTGAATGAAAGAATGTCAGCCACTGACCTTTTTTCCTTCATGGGTCATGGCAGCTGAGAAAGACCAAGGTCAGTGATAATGAGACTTCACAGCCTCATGGCTACAGTGAAAATTATGGAACTGCTTTAGAAGTGAGTTATTTGAAGCTCAATGGGAAAAGATTCTTCATCTTCCCAGATCTCTGCTGTCACTTTACAAAGAGAAATAAAGACTTATCTTGATAACAAGGGACATTCAGGGATAAGGATCCCGAATAGGGTCCGAGTCTGGAGCTCTGACAGGGCAGTTGGTGAAGCAGCTTGAGTAACAGAAGAGTCAATCTTTAGAATCCTCCACAGAGGCTTAGAAAGATGTGTAAAGCACTAGGGATTTGATTTTACTTTTCAGAGTTTTCTATTCTGCTCTTGTACTTACTGTCACTGAATGGAACAGAAAGCAGACCTGTTACAATGTTCAAGTTGTACAGTTTGTATGTGTTTTAAAGAAGAGGAAGAAAGTTGTGGAAGGCTTGTGAGAAGGATGCCTTTGTCTGATAAAAATGCCTTACAACATTTTGAGATGGAATGCAGAACCTGCTCGTCTTCCTTGGGGAACTGATAATGTACAATGAATTTGAAGATTTTCTTACAGTATCTGAGCAAGAGAAGAAATATACTAACTTTGCAATCTATGAAAATTTTTCACTCACTAGCTCTCTTACTGCCTTGTAGTAGGTTAACTATTAAAAATTATAAATGACACAACTGTTGTCCTTTAAAGGAAATGGAAAGGAGATAATATTTATTATGCGTCTACTATCTGTTCAACACTATGCAAAACATGCTGTAGTCCCATTACATTTGATACTCATAACCACCCTATGAATCAGATATATAATTATCCCTATTTTATAAATACTAAATTGAGACACAGGAAGTAGAAGTGGCTTATCTTCTGGCTCTGTCTATTCCTTATCACCCATCATAAGCACAATCTCTCTGAAAGTGTTCCATATCTTTACCTGATAAAAGTAAGTCGTCCCTCCTCTGTGCCATCTCTGTACTTTGTACTTTGCACGTGCTTCTAATGTTATATCTTGGTATTTAAATTAATTTCTTTTCAAGTTTTGTTCTCCCTTACTAGAGTATAAATCTCTAGATAGTCGGGGTTTTGTTTTTATCTCTGTATTCCTTGCATTGATCACAGAAATATTTAGTTTTTGAAGTAAATGCCACAGAGCCAGTTAGGCATGGAGTCAGAATTTAAATTTAACATGCTTTTGATTCGAAAAGCTCATGCATTTTTCATTATACTACAATGCCAAAACTTGAAGACAGACAGAAAGATTAACGTAATTATATTATTAAATAATGCACTTAATAATGCACTTAAATGCAATTATATCCAATTTACATACCTAATATAAATATAATAGGGTTACGAAATAGGTAGACAACTCATAGGTAAGGCAAATCTAGAAAATTTGCAGTGCAGAGAAAGTTTAAAGCTCATATACTAAGTCTAAGAATATTACTTTTGATTCACCAACTTATTATTATTTTTATTATACAACTACTACCCGATAGTCCAGTGGGAGGTAGCAAGGTTAAAGCAGAGGGGATCCTGTCCTTAAGAAGTTTTCATGTAACTAATATGGTGCAGGGAAATGTGTGCATACCATAGTTGATTTTGTTTTGAGTTATTTCTGCCTCTGAGCTATGTCTTCCTCATGTTTAAATTGGTTCTATTAATACCCCTGAGGATTATCGTGAAAACTAAAACAGATAACATATGCTATAGGACCTGGTGCCTAACATAGACGAAGATAAATCAATGTTACTTCTCAGTCCAAATGAAGATATGAATATGAATATGGATATGGACACAGCCTTAAATCAGAGGCTTTCAACAGAGATGGGTGGGGAGAGACTTTATTCTCCAGGTGACGTCTGGCACTTTTCTGAAGTCATTTTTGGTTATCACAACTGGAGGTGTGTCACTGGCATTTAGTGACAGGAATACTGCTAAACATTCCTCAATATACAGAACAATTTCTCATAACAATAAATTAAACAATTTTCTGGCCCCAAATGTTACGAGCTCTGAGTGTAGATACAGACATAGAAGTGCTAAGTATTACAAGTATCAGGTCTACTTCCGTGAGAGTGCAGATTTGGAAATGGGATGATACCCTGGCTCTGAATCTGAGATGTTTATGAAAGAGTTGGGATTTATGTAGGCTTTGGGATTAAGTTAGGTAGAAATAAAGCAATTGGAATTCCAGGAGGCACTTGATTAATGGAGAAAAAAAGCATTCAGGCATCAGAGTCAACAAAATAATTTCCCAATCAGATGATAAAGTCTGGAAGAGTGAGTGGAGAACTTAGGACTATAAAATAAGAATGTTGGTGTTGGAGGTGAGATGTGTGTATGAACAGGAAACGAGGAGCAAGATGTTAGAGGAAGGACAGCAATATAAACAGGGAAACATAAATAACATATATTATATTCCTTAATTCATCAAAAAAGAAAAAGAGATTAAAATATCAAGTGTTTTATACACACCAGAGACCTATCTAGGCAGTGGAAATAAAAACATAAATAAAGCATCATTCCTAAAGTCATAATCTATTTTAGTGTTCCCAAAGTATTTTCTTGATGAAATTACATATTAAAACAAAATTAAATCAAATGCTTTATTTAGGAAACAGAAGATTAAGCAAACTTAAACAGCTATTTTCTTAAAGAGAACTACAGAGACTGGAATGGGCTTATGAGCTATGGTATATAACAATCACAAATTTATATCTATTATCCTAGTTCATTTTTTCTTGCGTATAACAGAATACCTGAAAGGTGGTAATTTATTTTTTTAAAAAAGGAGTTTCTTTCTTACTGTTTTAGAGGCTGAGAAATCCAATCTCAAGCGGCCACATCTGGTGAGGGCCTTCTTGCCAGTGGGGACACTCGCCAGCATCCTGAGGTGGCGCAGGGCATCTCATGATGAGGGGACAGCATGCTAGCTCAGGTCTCACTTCTTCTAATAAAACCACCAGTCTCACTCCCATGATAACCCATCAATCCATTCATCCATGAACAGATTAATCTATTCATGAGGACAGAGCCCTCATGACTCAAATCACCTCTTAAAAACCCTACCCCTCAATACTGCCACATTGGGCACTAAATTTCAACCTGCATTTTAGAGAGGACAAATATTCAAACCACAGCATCTGTGAAGCACTTCATTTTGAAGGAGCATCTTCCAGAGCCAATATTTAGCCAGGCTAAATTTAGAGAACACTATTCTAGCACCAGGTCTCCCACTAGGAAGCCAGTAAGAAACACTTAATGTTTTCATGATGGGATTGGAATTTGCAGAAACTGGCGAAGAAACCACTTCCAGTGTTTCCAATACTTGAAATTTCTAGAAGAAAGGCTTTATTTTATTTTGTTTTGTTTAATAAGCAAGAAGGTTAAGACAATTTGTGGTTAGCTTCTGGCATGTGTTTGGTACTAAATAAAGATTTTTGAATGTAGTTAAATGAGTGAGACACTAGGAGTGGGCTAACAAAAAAGAAGAAGATAAAAAAGCTTATGAAAGGAAAACGTGCAAAGCTTGGCAATAGAATGTATACATTGAATACAAAACAAGTAGGAAATTAAGGCTGAATAAGAACTCATCTTTTATATTAGAGAAAATTATGGTTTAACTCATGAGATCATAGAAAAGAACATAATAGGGAAATCATATTAGAATAAAACCATCAGACTGAGAAGCTGCATTTTGATGTCTAAACTAGGTCACTAATTTACTGTGTAAACCTGGCCAAGGCCCTTAACCTCTTAGATCCTCACTTGGTTATTTATAAAATATAGATACCTATGCTCCCAGTGAGGATTAAATAGCCTTAATAAATATAAATACATATATGTAAATGCACATATACATATACATACATGTATTACACAAATATAATGCATACATATAGGTATATATAGATATGCACATACATGTAAAAGGAATTATTGTTATTGTAGCTCATATTCTAGACGCATAACTGCTTTAATTGAGAATTTCAGTGATATACACTATTAATTACTTCATTTTTAAAAAATTCATGGCTACTATAAAATGATTTTCCTAACCATATTTGTTGGTATCATAAATTCAACTTTTTTTGATATTCAAGTGAAACTAGGTTAATATGATTTGAATATTTACAATTAGTCATTATCAATTAATATAGTTTACTAAGCAGCAATTTGGTTCATAGTATCTGGGATACCAGATGCTGGAAGAATAAAAATCAGTCCCAGTCCTCTAGGAGATTATAATCTAAGGTGCAGGAACTGATGCCCAAGTGAGTGTTGACAACGGACAGCCCCAGTTGAGCATATTCCTTAAGGAAGTGGCATTGTTTTCTCCCTGACAGCATCCTAAGAAGTAAATTCCACATTTCCTCATCATTGAAAAAAGAGCCAATCTGATGGGGAGGCCGTACTTTACTTCATTCGAGGATTCCAATGACATCATGAGGTAGAGAAAAAAAAAACAAAAAAACCACTCAGCAGAAGGGGCATCCCCGTCACAAACTGTTCAGGTTCTCCAGTGACCTCTCTGCAATTTGTGTAAAAATAAGGCTGCCCCCACTGGAATCCACAAAGTCCCAGGTTTCATGGGCAATTTAATGTGTGAATATAGGGGAGGGGTGGTCCTCGGGGTAGATGGTAGCTTGAGTAACTGATTTCAATAATCAGAATAAATGTTAGCTTACATATTTGTATTCTGAGGTATTGATGTTATTACACCAGTAACACACAGATGAGGACACAGAGTCAGTATACAAAATAATAATAGCTACCATCTCCTGAGTCTCTGCAAGGTGGCTAGAAGACTTCTAAGCACTATAGGAGAGATTTTTCTCATTTAATCCTCAGAATAGACACCGTATGCAGGTATTTTTAACTCTGTTAATGCAGATGAAGAAAGTGAGGCTCAGGGTAGACTTGCTTAAGGACACATAGCCGGTAAGAGACACATAGTGGATTTTAAACTGTTTCCTAGTGTACATTCTCATGTACCGCATATCTGATTGCACGGCTTCTCCTGCTTTTCTTTTCTGGATTCCTGTGATAGAGGAGGCTTCTAGCCTAGGTTAGGTAGTAGAGGTGTTGTAGCTAGAATGACCTATTTTAACACTATTAGTTATTAGGTAGAGGGAATAAGAAAGAGGGAAGAGGCCAGGCACGGTGGCTCCTGCCTGTAATCCCAGCACTTTCGGAAGCCGAGGCGGGCGGATCATGAGATCAGGAGATAGAGACCATCCTGGCCAAGATGGTGAAACCCCGTCTCTACTGAAAATACAAAAAATTAGCTGGGCGTGGTGGTGGGCACCTGTAGTCCCAGCTACTGCGGAGGCTGAGGCAGGAGAATCGCTTGAACCCGGGAGGCGGAGCTTGCAGTAAGCAGAGATCATACCACTGCACTCCAGCCTGGGCGACAAAGTGAGATTCCATCTCAAACAAATAAAAAAATTTAAAAAAAGAAAGAAAAATAGTGGATAAAAGTGACCACAGTATGTTCAATGTCATGATGATGATGATGATGATGATGATGATGATGATGATTATTATTATTATTATTAAGACGGAGTCTAACTCTGTTGCCAGGCTAGAGTGCAGTAGCGTGATCTCGGCTCACTGCAACCTCCGCCTCCCTGGTTCAAGTGATTCTCCTGCCTCAGCCTCCCAAGTAGCTGGGATTACAGGCACTTGCCACCATGCCTAGCCAATTTTTAGTAGAGACAGGGTTTCACCATGTTGGCCAGGATGGTCGAGATCTCGTGGCCTCGTGATCCACCCGCCTCAGTCTCCCGAAGTTCTGGTATTACAGACGTGAGCCACCGCGCCCGGCCCAATGTCATTATTTTTTAAAAACTGAAAGTATGATTTGGGGCATCACTAAGAGAGAAAACCATGCGATTTGAGGAATAGAGAAAAAGAGAAAAAAAAAGGATTGTTTAGCCTATGAAAGGGAAGACTCACAAAAGCTATTACACACCTGCATGGTTTTCATTTGGAAAAAGAAATGGAAGGCAAAACAGACTTAACACTTATTAAGGACCCAGTCTGTATAAGGCAAATTCCTGGGTGGGTATGTTAAATTAATTTATAGATGAGAAAACTAAGGCTGTGAGATTTCAAGAGGCTTGGCTAAGGTCATGCATGCAACAGGGATTCAAACAAAGGTCCAACTTGCCAGCTTTCATTTTTTTTTTTTTTGGAACCATTCGATAATGAAATGGATGATCTTTGACATACTCAGCTCTGTGGTTTTGGAAGCGTTAAAGTTGAAGCTGAGGGACTATATGACAGTGGTGCTATCGAAGCAATTTTTGCACTTGCTAGGCTTTTAGAGTGATGATCTTCATGGTCTCTTTTAATGCAATGCAACTATTCTAGGAGCCAATGAATAATTTGGAAAGGTGGTACATACCAAGCAGTTTCCAGAGAGAATTTCATTGCATTGCCATTCCTGATATTAGCTACTGACACAGTGAGAATAAAGGGTTTGAATGAATCGTCATTGAAGTTGAGTCAATGTAATCCTTCAGAGCTGTAATTATTCATTATATACTAGTTTTGTATTTTGTGTGTTATTAGGGGAACAGACAAATGAAAGTTCTGTTCCTCAAATGATAGATTGGTCAGGAATTTCTTCTACCTGCTGGTCCTAACACTGAAGTAGCAAAACTATAAATAGGACCAATCCAAGGTCAGACATAGGGAAAAATATAGATGGTGTGTCAAACCATATTACAAAGAGTAATACCAGGTTTGGGAGGAGACGACTCAGGAGCCAAATCAAAATAAGAAATGTCAGATAGCCCAGAATCCAAGAGATGATTGGAAGTCAGAATGGGTGTGGTTTAATGAGTTAACTCAATTCAACAAATATGCATTGACTATAGTCTAGTGGGAAAGATATACAGGTTAAAAATAATTAAAATATATTGCAATAAAAATGGAACCATAACGTATGTGGTCAGATACTACTTTCTCTTTTATTCAACATTATGATTTCTAGCATTCGTTAATGGTGTTGTGTGTAGTTGAAATGTATTCATTTTCACTACTGAAAAATTGTACATTGTGTGATTATATTACAATTTCAAACCTCAGTATAATGCAAAGTAAATAATATGGTGCTAAAAAATAAGAGCACATATACTTGATATAAAAACAAAATGAAGAGAGTTATAAATATACATTTCAGAATAGTGATAATTCTAGGATAAAATGAAAAATTAGTCCAGGAAAGAGGCGTATAAGTAGAAACTGGAATAGGTGTAATGTTCTAGTTCTCATATGTGGGTGGTGGGTTTATAGTTATTTATTTTAATGCTTCAGTATATATAGACATACAAGTATATGTATGAAGTATATATAAATGTATCTACATATAAATGTTACATATTTATTATATATAGGTATCATATATATACATAATAAAACATCCAAAAAATTTTAAAGTTTGAATATATAGTGAACTGTAAAGACATATATGCATAGAATGCAGCGATCCAAGATAAGACAGAGGAATTGATTATCTTGGTTGGGTAGATGGTGAATAAGTGTTTTTTTTTGTTTGTTTGTTTGTTTTTTTTGAGACAGAATCTTGCTCTGTCACCAGGCTGGACTGCAGGCATGATCTTGACTCACTGCAACTTCTGCCTCCTGAGTTCGAGTGATTCCCCTACCTCAGCCTCCCAAGTAGCTGGTAATACAGGCACACGCCACCATGCCTGACTAATTTTTTTGCATTTTAGTACAGATGGGATTTCACTATGTTGGTCAGGATGGTCTTGATCTCCTGACCTTGTGATCTGCCCGCCTTGGCCTCCCAAAGTGCTGGGATTACAGGCATGAGCCACCAGGCCCGGCTGAGATTTTTTTTTTAAATGTGTTATATCTGAGTTGGATTTTTGAGGAATGCGTAAATGTTTACCTCATTCATAAAGCAAAGGCATTCCAGGAAAAAGAAGAAAAGAAGTGCCTGCCCTGGAAGACATGTTGTACACTTGTGCATATTATTTACCTTCCCCCATATAATATCTCTGACATCACAATATGTGTATATAATAATATATAATTGTTGAATAAATGAAGATATTCAGGATTGACAGATGTAGTGTCTGTAGTGTGTGGATGGGTGAATATGAGGAACCTGTTGGGAATAAGGTTGAAGAAGCAGAAAAAAAACTGCTTAAGGAGTTTTATTGCCTTTCAGAGGCTCTTAAGGAAAGTAATACAGTGTTTTAGGTAGAGGAAAGACAAATTTGTCTTAAATGGTAGATGCTCTAGCTATATAATGTGAAGGATGACTTGGGAGTTGGAAGCATGGTGGTGGTGGGACCCTAGATCATAAAGAAGGAGGCTAACTAGGAGGGGGTGAACTAGTCCCAGCAGGAGGTGAACTAGTCCCAGCAGGAGGTGACAATGTGGAGTGGGGACAGCAACCTGGGAATGGCCAGGGGATCCTTTTCAAATTGTTAATGAGGAGCAGGACAAGGAGGCAGATTCACCAGCATGAAATCTAGAAAAACTTGCCAATCCCATAGCATAATTCTCTTGGTCTTAAAAAGATACATGTCCTTCCCATAGTGTTTTTCAGACTTTACTGCTCTTTTTTTCAACCTCTTGGATTTTAGCTTTGGTTTGAATAAACAATACTCACTGGGCAACCTGTTTTAGAAGTGCATACACTTTTTGTGATAGCTTAAAACACTTAAAAAATAAAACTGGCTAAACTCAGGCCCTTCTTCTTCTCCTTTGCCTTTTTCTCCTCCTCCTCCTTTTTTCTTTTTGCAAATGCGATAAAGCAATGGTCCCCCAAAATAACTCTTAAAGGCATGAACCAAACATCATGGTTTTTTTTGTTCCCGACTGTGGCACATGACTAGTTTGGTATGCTGGCACATACCAGCACACATTTATTCATTCATACCATAAGTATCCGTACATGCCCTGAGGGCACTGTGGTGTGCTGACCATATCCTCCCTTCAGAGCACACCTGCTCATACTCCCAGATGTTGAAACTGTTGGCAGATGATGGTACTCAAGTGAATCCCTCTCTAGAAACTGTCTCCAGCCAGAGAGCCACTTTGCTCAAGATCTTACCCACTCCCAGAGGAGAGCCTGCATTAATGACTGGTCAATGAGTTGGTTAAAATCCACCCATTTGCCTCAAGGTAGGACCACTCTGAAGAATTAATCCAAGTTTAGAATTCCCCATAAGATAGGCTAAGGCCGTTATTACAATTGCATTGCAATTCAACTACTCTCTTAGCCTCTTCCTTTGACCACAGCTGTGATCATTCCCAATAAACTTGTTGCACACAAATTCTCATCTCAGACTTTGTTTTTTATGGAGCTCAAACTAAGTTGCCTGTCATGTGCCTGGCATAGTGAGTATAATGATTCTGAAGCGACCACATAGGTGCAGAGATAAAAGTTAAAGCAGGAGCAACATTTAAAAGGTATGTGAGGGCAGATAACCGTGTGTGTGCACTGTGTGTGAATGATAGATATATTGATAGCTTTGAGAAGTAGATTGGTAAAATCCAAGAAGTTTCATGAAGGCATAACATAATCTTTTGAAGCCATTGGGATAGTATATTCTTGTCTCTTTAAGAACAAGAGAGACATGCTTTGAGAATTGGCAACATTTTCTGTCCGCAGACATGGGTGCAGTCTTAGTTATCACTCTATTGAGGATTTACTGTGCCTCAAAGCCTTAATCTCAGAGAACATTGATTTACTCTTCAGAAATTTCGGGAGCTCTGCTGACATCCAGGCCAAGGGAAGTTTAACTTTGTATTGAGACATTTTTCTTTCCCTGTGTATATACACAAGGCAATGAAGGAAATAATACTAAAGGATGGCTGAGTTCATGGTTTCAATATATGAGGGTCACCTTGTTTTATATAGGCCACAAACCAAAGCTGAATAAAGAATGCTATTTGTTAATCAAACTGTGTGGGATTTTGCAGCCTAATTTGAGTGGGCAATATTCTTGCTCACAGCAGTCTAGGTTAAAACTTAAATGACAATGCATTATTATGCCAATTAAAAATTCAAAAATAAATGCAATATTTAAACCTGTCTTTCCCCATCAACATATACATACCCACTGAGTTTTAGAAATAACAAGAGAAGAGTTCTCCAAGCTTCTTTTTTCTTCACAGCCCTTTAAAATGTCAAAGGCGTAAATGAAGCTTAGCCCCTACAATAAGAGCTGTTATTCAGCTGAATGATAAAGGGCTATCTTTTGTGTTAGATACTCCAGACTTACAATGGCATAAATGAGAAGCAAATACAAAAACAAAACAGGTGAAAGCATGCACTTCATGAAAGACAGACCCAGATTTCTATTACCCATCCTCCATTTACTCGATGAGTGGACTTGGGTAAATTACTCGGCTTAATTTCAGTTTGATCATCTGTAAAATGAGAAGAATAAATTTCTACTGAGTTGTGTGATAATCATGTAAGTTAATGTATGTAAAGTACATAAAGGGCAGAAGGGCATATAGGAAATTCTAATGTAAAAATTTTTGAGTAGGTTCTCAAGATATTTTAAAGTATATGCATAGAAATAAATTCAAGATCAGACATACAAACAGGAATTTCAGTCAAATTTCTTATATGATAGCTTTTGAGGGGAGGCCACTGGGAAAGACTTGGGGTTTCTATATTTTGACTGGTGATTAAACTTTTGCCACAGTTAGAGCTTTAAGATTGTAGTTCAAGGCCAGGCATGGTGGCTCACGCCTGTAATTCTAGCACTTTGGGAGGCCAAGGCAGGCGGATCACGAGGTCAGGAGATTGAGACCATCCTGGCTAGCATGGTGAAACCCCATCTCTACTAAAAATACAAAAAACTAACTGGGAGTGGTGGTGGGTGCCTGTAGTCCCAGCTACTCGGGAGGCTGAGGCAGGAGAATGGCGTGAACCTGGGAGGCGGAGGTTGCAGTGAGCTGAGAGCTGAGATCATGCCACTGCACTCCAGCCTGAGCGACAGAGCGAGACTCTGTCTCAAAAAAAAAAAAAAAAAAAGATTGTAGTTCAAGTCCTTGGCCCTTATTAAAAGAGAGCTAAAATGGGAAAAGGCTAATATGGTGTGAAAAGAAGAACACTTGGATGGGCAGTAATGTCCCCTAAGTGGTTACTCTAGTTCTGCCACAAGCTGGTTTTGAGACACTGAGGAGGTCACTATATCACTGTGAGCTGTGATTTGCTCATCTGTAACACTGGCATACTCAATTGGGTGGTCTGTGTATGTGTGTGATAATACCTTAATTCCAACATATACTGATTTGCTGATGTTCTAAGTAACTATTCTCGTTTATTTACTGTGGCTACTTGGAAACGGACATAGTCAATGCCTTCATGGAATTTAGCATCTAAGGAGTCTAGGAAGAGATACAGGGGGAAAAAAGCCAAACAATTATAATAAAGTGCAATAAATAAAGTACTTAAATGCACAGGGAGAAACACCTAACCTGTTTTGGAACTATCAGAGACTTCCTTTTAAAGGTAGAGAACAGGAGAAAAGGAGAAGAGATGTCTAAGGTTGCCCAAAGGCCTGAAGATGAGAAAGAGCATAACTTATGTTCTAGAAGCTGAAACAAGTTTTGTTTGACTAGAACAGATTATACAAATGAAAAACAGAGGAAATGTATGTAGAGAAATAAGGAATGGTGCAATAGTACATGTTCTCATCCCTCTTTGTATTCAAGGTGTTTAGTGATCAACAATGATTTTTGAATCATCAAATGCATGAGTGATAAATTAAACTTTCATCCTACTTTTCTACTTCATTGTAAATGAAAATTCTGACAGCAAGTTTTTATAAAGGATCCCTGGGGGAGAAAAAATCATTTGACATGTTGAGGCTGTAAGGCACACCACCAAGAATAAAAAAGATCTGTGAGAGGAGAAAGGAACTGATATTCATTTCTTAATACATTAACTCTGAATTTATTGATCCACCTATCATGTGCCAACTACTGCTCTAGCTCCCGGGATAATGGCAGTGAACAAGATATCCAAGACTCTGTGCTCAGTGGAGGTCAATATGCAATATGAATCTTGTACATGTAGTGTCTCATGTACTGCTCATGGGAGGCATGATGCGTCTCTGCAAAAGGGAAATACCCTCTGTTCTTTAATCAGGGCTAAGTGTTCTGTTTGTTTATGGCTTTGAGAAGGCTGTTCTGGTTGTGCTTAGATTATGTTACAGCAATTGTCATTAATTTCCCACATTCACAAGTGAGAAAGACCTTCAACGTACACTCATGTGTTAATATGACATTAGTATTATATTTAGTATGTTTACTTAGTCATTCAAATTATAGAAAAGTGTGGCATATAATCTTTAATAATAGATTCTTTTTCTCTTTCTTTGGGCCACTAGGAAGTTAATATTCTTAGGTTGAAATGAAAGGTCTCATAATATGAAGAAAGTACAAAATTTGAGTTTATAATGCTGCAAAATAGGTTCATTTTAATTACAATTTTGAGGAGTATTAAAAACGTTACCTAGAAAGAAGTTTGATTTAATGCTCTGAAAAGAATTGAGGAAGGTGCAATGTTTACATTTCGAGAGACTAGTTTCATGGGGAGAAACCCGGAGCTGAAAGTCAGGCTTTGGTTCTTATTTCAGTATTAAACTAACTTAGGTTGTGATGTTAGAAAAGCGATTGAGAGAGGAAAATGCTGACCTCCAATAATAGAAAGCTTATCTTCTAGAATCAGACATTGAAAAAAAAACTGTCAAATGAAAGAATTATTACCCTTGCTTTATGTAGGTACAGTAGAGTAGGATGAGAAAAACCAGACTTGTAGCTATAGTGAAAAAAAAAATCTTCAATTACTACTAGAAGTATTATAATGATTATTACTATAACTAATAGAAAAATTTTATTATTTTGTTACAGTAAAGATTATAGGCTGGGTACGGTGGCTCACATATGTAATCCTAGCACTTTGGGAGGCTAAGGCGGGCAGATCACGAGGTCAGGAGTTCCAGAGCAGCCTGGCCAACATAGTGAAACCCTGTCTCTACTAAAATACAAAATTAGCCAGGCGTGGTGGTGGGCACCTCTAATCTAAGCTACTTGGGAGACTGAGGCAAGGAGAATTGCTTGAATCTGGGAGGCGAAAGTTTCAGTGAGCCAAGATCGTGCCGCTGCACTCCAGCCCAGGTGACCGTGCGAGACTCCGTCTCAAAAAAAACAAAAAAAGATTATATATGTATGTGTGTAAGTGCCATGATGCACACTTACAATATAATGCGGTGTTCTAAATGCTATTCATGCATTTAATAATTTAATCCACAAAACAATACTACAAATGAGATAATATTATTATCTCTATTTTGCCCGTGAGAAAACTGAAGAATAGACAGGTCAAGTAATTTGCCCCAAGCAACACAATAAGTAATTGATGGGGCTAGTATTTCATTCTAGACCATCTGACTGTGGAACGCACACTAATAAAAAAATTATTTCAGGCAGAGTTTGCCAGAGATTAAATCAGCTTCTTGAACAAAGAGGGAGTTATTTGCACGTAACATTTTCAGGTGGAAGCAAGGTTGAACACTTAATGAAGGGCATGCAGGTACTGGATGAGTATTTGAGAAAGATAGCCCCCTGATCCTGATATGTTTCCATTCTATATAAGCTACTCCAAGAGCAAATCAGTTTTGCCAGATTAGATGCTCAAAAATAATATTGGACTGAACCACAGTCATGTTCTTTCATTTTTACTAAATATGTACTTGCATCTGCTCGGGCAGAAGTGTCTTCATTTCTTGTTTTTACCTGTAGAGTCTAATAGAGACCCTGTTCATTGTGTAAGTGCTCAAAACATGCTTGTCATTATTCTTACCTCTATGACCACCAGCAAAGCCACTATTACTAGACAATGTAGTAAATTGAAAGGAACATTAGAATTGGAGCCAAAATCTTTGGTTGTAGCCTGAACACATCAGGTGCTAGGAATGTGACCAGGCCCAAGTAACACAAATTTCTTCAGCTTCACTTTTTCTATTTGTAAAATGTAGGTAACAATGGTGTCTATCTAACCAAGGTAATATTCTAGGGCCTAGAATCTCACTTTTAGAAATCCTTACCACCGTAAAGAAAGTTCAGTTGAGTTTTAAACGTTATCCCTTAACTCCAAATATTGCTAGCAATTACAAGTATCCAGTATTATCCTTTTGAAGGCTTAAAAATGTTTCATCATCCTTTGTTAATTTCAGTTAAGCTGTTTTTTTGTTTGTTCCTTTAGAAGCTTAAAGGGAATAGAACAAACATGGGGAAAAAATAACTGTACCCATCTTTCCAAAATAAATACTAGGTTTTCATTTACAAACTAAAAACACTTAAAATTTTTTTTTCCTTCACCATCTTTTTTTAGTGGAAGTTAAACATAATATATCTTACAATTAAAAGTGCTTTCCACTGTTTTTGCTGAGAGGAACCCAGAGCTGCTGGCGAATGACAACACCACTAAAGCTTTGAGCCTCAACAAGATAAATCCTGGTGCACCACTTGCTGACAAGCCCAAGTAAGGAGATAAAGGTGACAATAAACAGGCACCGGGACAATGTGTATTGCTTCTGGGGAAAGGTTGTACTTGTCAATATTTCCTCAGGGCTTTGTTCAGTTTGCCGTCTTTTTGTAAATCATCCTTGGAAACGTGGATTCAAAACAGGTCTTCCAAAAATGGGTGTAGTGGAGTTGGAAACAAATATTGTAATTCTCAGTTCTCTTCATCTGGTCTATTGACTAAAAAAGGGAAGTACAAAAGATATACCTGTTAGTCCTGCAGAAAATCTTTCTGAATCATTTCAGGCTGCTGTAACAAAATACTGTAGACTATCTGGCTCAAACAACAGTTTATTTGCTCACACTTCTGGAGGCTGGAGGTACCGGCTCAGAGTGCCAGCACCATTGAACCCCAGTGAGGGCTTTCATCCTGTCTTATAGGTGGCCGCTTTCTCTCTCTGTCTTCACTTGGTGAGGAGAGAGTAAGAGAATAAGCTCTCTGGTGTCTTTTCTTATAATGGCACTAATCCCATCATGGGTTCCCACCCTTATGACCTCAACTAAACCTAATTACCACCCAAAGGCCCTATCTTCAAATACCATCACAATAGGAATTAGGGCTTCAGCATAGGAATTTAGGAGGGACACAATTGAGTACACAGCAGCATCATTGCTGAATGAGAAGGCACAGCTTATGGTTTCACTCTCTTGGTATATGACAAAGAGACATATATATAAGGCTTTCTAGCTTCTGTATTCTATTCTATATTGTACATCAAGGCTTGGTGACTCACTGGGTTTTGAGAGTCCTATTAGAAAAAAAAATTGAAGATGCCTTAATTTAATAATAACAGTCAAATCTGAAAGGTGGAAGTTTGAGTGCCCTGGATTGAGAAGTCCATATCTGATTTCTGGAGAGGTGATTTATTTTTCTTTCCAGGGAATATTTTATTTGAGTTTTATTTGAGCTTCTCTAATAGTTCATGGACAGTCTAGAAATTAGCCAAGGTTCATTTCTTTAAAAAGTAGTACAAGATTTTAGAATCAATATGGATTTTTTTTTTAATTTTAGCAAATTTTATTAGTGAGTATAAATGAAAAAATCAAAAGCAAAATAATAGCAAACCAACTCCAACAATGTATGAGAATGATAATACAGCACAAATCATTCCAGCAAATACAGAAAAAAAATTGATAAACTTTAACACCCATTCATGAAAGAAATTCTTTATTTTATTTTATTTTATTATTATTATACTTTAAGTTAATATGGATTTTAGAGTTATAAAGAACTTGCTTTGAATTGCACCTTGTTGCTTCCTAGATTTATGCCTTTTAAACAAAGTTCTTAACCTTTCTTAACACATCGTATCATCTATGCGTTAATGATACCACCTAAGAGTGTCATTGTGTGGATTTAATGACATTAGAAAAACAAAAGACTAAGTAGAGTCCCTGGAATGTAGTAGATTATTAACAATTTAATTTCTCTTCTCCACTATCTTCCTGCAAAGATGCCCTTCTAGAATGAGGTTTTTCTAGTTAATGACGAAGTTTCACTCTCGTCTTCCAGGCTGGAGTGCAATGGCATGATCTTGGCTCACTGCAACCTCTGCCTCCCAGGTTCAAGTGATTCTCCTCCCTCAGCCTCCTGAGTAGCTGGGATTACAGGCGCCTGCCACCATGCCCGGCTAATTTTTGTATTTTCAGTAGACTTGGGGTTTCACCATGTTGGCCAGGCTGGTCCCAAACTCCCTACCTCAGGGGATCCACCTGCCTCGGCCTCCCAAAGTGCTGGGATTACAGGCATGAGTCACTGTGTCCAGCCCCAAGATTTCTTATAGGAATAGTTTGTGAGAATTGTTATTTTAATTGATCTCCAGGTTGATGTGCTTTCCACAAATATTGTTGAGACAATTAGGTACATTTTTAGCCAGAAGTAACAGATATTCAAACTAACAAAGGCTTAAACAAATAGGGATTTACATTGCTAATGAAACAAGAAATCTGGATATAAACAGTCTGGGGCTAGTGCAGGGACTCCTTATAAACACCCAATCTCTGTTTACCTTTCTACTCCACTATTCACAATATTATTAGCTAATTGTCTTATATTCACAGATTAGCTTTCCTAGCAGCAGGCATCGCCTCCACGTTCAAGGCAAGAAAAAGATGGAAAGAGACACTGCCATTTGTGTCTGTCCCTGTTATCAGATAAACAGGAAACTTCCAGAAACTCCATAATCAATAATTCCTTATGTATCATTAACTAAACTGTCATCTGGCCCTCTCTAGCTGCAAGAGATGTTGATAAAGCAGTAGGGAGATTTTTCAGCCTCCAAAGTGTAAGCTGGCAAGGGATAAGTGATTCAGAATGCCTGTAACCATAGCCAATGAGTAGTGTCATATATATTTGGAAAACACTACTTACTCAGTTCAGTTCAATGAACATTAACTGTGGATCTACTAAGTGTCAGACGTTGTACTAGGTGTTGAGGCAACTGAGAATAAAACCAAAACAAAATATAGTCCCTCTTCTTCAAGAACTTAGTCACATGAGAGAGAGAAATAACAACATAGTTCAACTCTACTGAGAGAAATATTCGCAGGGCCACAATTCTGAACTCTAGATTAACCACTTTCAAAGGTTATTTTGGTGTAACCAAGGTCACTCTGCGCTGTTCGTCTGCATCATACTGCTAGTTCCTTCCAAGAGTGAGCAGGATGATGAGAATCTACCTTTATAATGACGACCGTGAAACATTCTCTGAATAATCAAGGATTCAGTTCTGTTTCCAAGTTGGGATTGGTTTGTTTAATTGTATTTCGTGTCTCGGGAAATGTTTAAATCAGGTAGAAGAATTGTAGTAAGTCAATTATCTAGAACAAAAAATGTCTGACATTGTTTTTAATAAACACACTGAGCTCCTTTATGTCTCAGATAGTTAACAGAAAAAGTTATTTTAACAGGTCGTAGATGGACACATTGCCGTAGTTTGGATCCTATATGTTCTCTTTGCCATAAGGCAGGATTCAGCAAACTTTGTAAAAGGCTAGATAGTTTGGCTTTCCAAGACATATGGTCTCTGTGACAGTTACTCAGCTCTGTCATTGCAATGCAAACGCACCACAGACAATATGAAAACAAATGATTATGGCCATGTTCTAAGAAAACTTTATTTACAAAAATAGGTGACAATCAAAATTTGGCTCATGAATCATAGTTTACTTATCTCTGCCATAATGCTATAAAAATCTTGACTCTTTTGATTACATAGTAGTAGATGTAGTCATCAACTATAGTAATGTATTTAAGGATGTTTAAGCCATCTGAATACCATTTGCCACCATTTTGTAAGTTAAATTTGTTCTTTATCCCCAGCTCTATAAGAGAATGTATGTGATAATGCACATGCCAAGGAAACTTCTCTTTAAAAGGGCCCTGACGTACATAATTGTGTTCTCTCCAATTATTTTAACAGGAAAATATAGCCTATATTTTATGCCCAAAGCATTAACAAGATATTTTCTTTAACTTTTTGGGGTTCCAGTTGCCTCTTGTGTGTTGAATCATATGTAACACATAGGAGATGATACATTCTAGTTTTCAGTACTGATACAGAAGTAGCAGCTCTGAAAACTCTAGAAACTTAGTGTGGCCCAAGACAAGAGAATAATATATGCAGGGCCCTAAGTAGCAGGAATCATCAAACCTGAGGGTGAGGTCAAAATGAGAGGAAAGAGGTTAATGAAGAAACAAAGTCAAGCAAAGGGGACATTTATGCAATGCAGGTGGCCAAAGTTATACCTGTCCTAGCAGGTCTCACCTGAAGGGCTACAGAGCTACTGCCTAAGAGGGCGTGGTGGCAGGTGCTTTTCTGAGCCTAAAAGTGGGAGCTTGGGAGCCAGCCTGTGCTCTGTGACCATAAGAGAGATGGGTTTTGTGTGTGACCTAAAAAGTGACTTCTGAAGCTAATGTTCTGTGAAGTCTGCAGCTGTGATGGCTATCCTGGGCCATCATCTCAGGAGGAAGCCTGGTTCCTCACAGCCAGCCACACTCTGAACAGACATGGTCACTTCCATGCTTCTGTGAGCTGCCTTTTGGTCCATGAACTCCATCTGTGGCTATCGTCAATGTGCTCCAAGAGGAAAAGAGATCAACCCCAGGGCCTGACTCTGAATTGCCAGCCTGAAGGACTTGCCTTCTTTTATGGGCCAGGGAGAATTGCCCTGCTGTCTGAGCTTTTACCCTCTTTTTTATCTTAGAGTTAAAGATATAGCCATGTTTCTTCTCTCAGGCCACCTTGGACTTCCAGTCTATTCAGAAAAAGCCTGACATTGAATACATCACAGAATCATCTACTTGGAAAGTGACAAGTAATTTTCATAATAACACTATGAAACATATGGCAGATCCTAAGATACCCAAGATAAGATGATATAACGGAAGCACAAGAAGGTACATGACTTTTATAAGTAACCACAGTGGTAAACCTGGGACTCAAATGTAGGGCTTTTGTTGCTAGCAAATATAGTGGTTTTATCACACTATTCCATCAGGATGGTTTTCTCAATTCCATGCAATAAAATTTAAAACTATATTTTAAGTAACTGAATATGTAATTTAAAAATGATACATAGCAACAAACCATATATAATATATTTAAATAATTTTATTTAATATTTTTGATAATCTATTTTTAAGGAGAACTTCCTTTTACCCTCTCAGATACAGTGTTAGATATATTTGATAAATCATGGCATTTACTCTTCACCATCACAATAGGTATCATTACTGTCATCATTGGAAAAAGAAGGAAACTGACATTTAAAGAGAATAAGTTATCATAGCTGGTAAGAGGGCAAACCATTTTGCCTCATTCAATGGATCTACATCATTGCTCCTTTCCATTATCTGTCTTAGGTAATATTTCTATACATTTTGCAAGATCTTTCAAATTTCAATATGTAGTTTATTCTCAAATCCTTGGTGGACTGTGTTCAATGAATATAATTGCAATAAAACTAAGGAAAAGGGAATTGATTGCAAATATTGGACCCACAGTTTGGTTCACACTTTAAGGCTGCCCAAGCCTTTCTCTTCACTGACAGTTAGCAATGATGGGCAGCTCCATATTGTGCTGTGAGGAGTCTACAAACATGGATTAATTCACAGTCATGAATGTAGCCAGAGTAAGGCCTAAAGAGACAAAGGGCTCTCTATCATTCCAGCCTGATATCATTGAGAAGCAAGCCTCCTTCTAAACTTAAGTTATTTACTTTTTTTACATCCTGAGGTCTGGCACTTTTCAGGGCAACTGCATCTGATCCATTGCTAACATTAATCTGGGGAAAACAGATTAACAGCTGTTCTGTAATGGTAACAGGGAAGATAAAGGGTACTGTGTAAACACGCCACCTGCCTGTAACTAAGCCTGTCTCCCATCACCTAACCTTTGCTGTTCTTCTTTCTTTCACAGATGGTTTTCCTAAGAGAAGTCAAATTCCAGAAAAGTCTATACAAATTTTATAAAATTCCTATAGAAATAAAACCTAGGCAAGATAATGAATGCTGGCATTATATTCTATGGGAATTATAGATATCAATAATGAGTTGAAAGGTGTCGAAGCTTATTAAAAGGGAGAATGGACTGTAAGACTCAAGCATGCTTAGATTTGACCTAAGTCCAGCTATTTACTTCTTCCACGACTGTGGGAAAATTATTCTTTCTTTGTAACTTTTAAGAAATTTTGTTAAATGGACGCAATATTTTCAACCCTAACAGATTGCTGTAAGGCCTCACTAAGCAAATGAATGTAAAGTACCAGTTAGTATAGTACCAAGAGCACAAATGTGTTCCAGTAAATGTGAGACATTGTTACACCCAATAACAAATGGCCTTTCTTGTATGAGGCCAATGGGAAGGCAAGCATTATGGTAACGCTTTGGAAAATGGTTTCGCAACATATTTCAGGACCCTAAAAGATATCTTCTATATCCCAGTAATTCAGCTTCCAGGAATCCTACTTTACAGAAATCTCACCGTATTACTTTCCTAGATAAAATGCCTTAATAGTTCTATGTTACCCTTGGGGTGAAAGTCAGTGTCTCAAATACAGTCTTAAACTTGTCCTTTACGACCTTTGTGCTTGTTAATCTTCAACCTCATCATTCTCATTTCTCATTTTGAGTATCTCAAAGTAATAAATATCTTTGAGTTCCCCAAAGGAATCATACACACACCATTCTAACTATATAAACTAATTTGTCCTTTTCTTTTTTACCCATTTTTTTTTATCCTTTAAAATCAATTACTCCAGGAAGCCTTATCACTAACTTTTCATCTGGGTTATCTGACCTCCTTTGTACTCCTAAAGACTCCTCTGTGTTTCTAATTTGACATTTTCACCCCAGAGACTGTTCATTCGTTCATGTCCAAAACAGAATGTAAGCTCCACGTGAACAGGAAGACGGCTCTTTTGCTTTTGATTGTATCTCTAACACCTAAAATATCCATGAGTATAATAGATGGCCCATTTTTGTTTGTTGAAGGAATATAGGAAATAAATCCAGAACAATAAGAAAGGAGCTCTGGCCACTAAGACACTCACCACAGTGTTAATTAAAAGAGTAAAAAATTAGAACAAAATATCACCAAATTTTCCAAATAGAGAATGGATTAAACAGTGATTTTCCACGTGATGAAATCTAAAGCCAGTGCATTTTATATACAAAGATTTTATAATAGCAATTGAAAATTATATAATTTATTAAGTTTAAAGAAAAAGCAAACTTATACATTTAACTCAATTATGGAAAAAAAAATCCTGTTATAGAAGAAATAGACTGGAGGAAATATTCAAAAATATTAATGGATCTTGTCTCTGGGTAGTGAGATTATGAATGATTTTTATTTTTAAAACATTATCCTACATTGTCCAAATGTTCTAAATGAGTTCGTATTTTTCTTTGTTACTATTTAACAGAATTATATTTAAAACAGTACAAAATATTCAACACTGGCAATGGGAAAGTTCCCCAGGGCAGGCTGGTGAGAGACTGAAGTTGTGAGCTGGCAGCAGAGGCTGGTCAGCAGCAGCATGGATTAGTGTTTTTATTTATAAAGCTGCAATTTCTCCAAGCAAGACAGGCGCATCCACCTGCTGATTTATACCCCTTGTCAAGGGAAGCCAAAGAACGATAATTCTCTGATGCTAAGCCTTCCTTTGGGATGATGTTTAGTCACTTCACTCCTAAAATGCTTGATCAATTATATACTACCTGTTGACACTCTAGGAAACATTTTAAATGAATGTCTTTCATGCAGGAGAACCCCACAAATCCAGTGACAGATACACTTTCTTTCCAAGTTCAAAAACACTCTTAACTGCACAGGAGCCTTGACTTTTTGGCTTTCAGTCAAAACACTTCCCGGGGAGAATCATGGAGCTGAAAGGGATAAATTGAGTCCCTGCATGCTGTCTCGACCCATGTGATTATGGCAGGACCTCGCTCAGCCTAGAATTGTCCATTAGTAAAATGGAAATAAGGGATTACATTGTGTAACAGTTTATTATTTGACTCATATGTGATATTAATTGTGAAAACACTTGTACATTTGAATTATTACTCAAATAGTCTACTTTCTGAGGAAGAGATTATCTTCTTGTTTTTTGTTTGTTTGTTTGTTTGTTTTTGTGTGTTTTTTTTCAATCTGGCTCTAATCCTAACTAATCCATAAAGTCCCTGAAAGCAAAACACCAGTCTTTTATATCTTAAGTGCCTAACACAGTGTCTGATGCATGAATAGTGTTCAAAAAGTTCTCATTCAATTGATTCTGGATTGCTGTCCACCATTCAATGGCATAAACACCAAGTAATTATTTAATTCTTATTGTAAACCAGTCACTGTACAAATTCCAAGGTAGATAAAAGTAGATTCTTCCCTCACAGCCTATAGACCATCAAATCAATTGATATTGAACAAGTGAATATAAATGCGATATGGGTTACATGAAGACTTGCATGGGCATTTACGTTAGATTTGATTGCAGGCAGCCAGGCAATGGTTTCCTATGGAGACAGTTTTGAAATGCAATCTTCAATGATGAAAAGGAGTTAAAGCAGAGGAGCTTACATTCGGTTAGGTTATTAGGTGTGGAAATAGCTTTGGGGGCAATGGTACATTTGAAAGCCCTGCTATGAAGTTCCATCACTAGCATTTTAGAAGTAGTCAACTAGACTGTGAGCTTCTCAACAACAGACACTGTATTCTTTTTGTCATTGTGTTTCTAATACATTGGACAGTGACAGCACATATGGTGGAACTTTTATAACTGCTTATTGAATGTGTTAGTAGTTTCATCTGGACACTCAAATACCCTTTCTGTCTTAAAAGGAAATTACAATATCTTGATTTAGGTATCGTACCACATTCAACCTTGAACTCTCTTCTTGCTAAAAACCTGACTGAAACAACTAACATGTGGTTAAAGTAGGCCAGGGGCAGGCAATTCACCCCTTCTTCTATATATTTTTCTGTGCAGAAATTAAGATATATAATGTACCTGGAGCATATTTCCATAGTCAACCAACAAAATCTTCTGTCTAGAGATTTGAGTGCAAGGTCCTTGGCTTTTTTTAAATCATCACTTTTCTTCCAGTAGTTGTTTTAGGCATTGTTTTTCCTATTCATCTCTCCACTCCTGCATTGACATTTTCATACTACAGCTATCTTGTATAGTCGTTTATGTATTTGGGGCCTATTGGAAGGCACAAACCATTGCGATGTCTAAGATTTATTTATAGACTCAAAAAAAAAAAAAAAAAAAAAAAAACCCAACAACTATTTCTGTCCCAGTGGGAAACATACTACTTCCACTGAAAATATATGCTAACACCAAAACTGCACTATTTCTGTTACACCCCATTTTTAAATTTGGATTTGGGCTTTCCCTTGTTAAGATGGTATGATGGTATTTACCATAATGGCTGGTGGATTCAGACCTGAAACCAACCCCAGTTCTATAATTTTTACCCTGGGCAATAAATTTAACCTCTCTCCATTTCCTCAGTCTTCTCGCTTGACAAATGGAGATAATGATACTTGACAGAAAGAACTGTAGTGAGCATTAGATAAGATAATGCCTATAAATTGCTCCCTATAGCAAGTTCTCAGAAAAATTTTAGTGGTTTGTTGTTACCAGGAAAACATTCTAAGTGGGAGAAATAAATGAACAAGGAGAGAGTTGAGAGTGGGTTTTGGTGTGACCCATTACTGAGAGGTGACTGACTTATGCTGGAAAACAGTGAGAAGAAAAAGGTCAAGGAACCTCAAAGCATACTGGGCCTTAAAATTTAAAGTCAGAATCTGTTGGAGGAACAAGACTACTAGTCTATTAGATTAGCTGTAAAATTTACTAGCTGTGTGACCTGGGAAATTCACTTAAACAGCGGAAATAGTACTGACCAAATAGGATATTTGTGAGGACTTAATAGATTAATTGCAGTTACAAAGCATGTATGTATGTGGTTGCTGGTAGTTTGCTTTGGCAAATAAAGCCATTGAGTTGTAAATTGGTTTAAGCCTTGGTAAAAGGTAATCCTAGGGAGGCATATAGGATGGTTCACAATTTTCAATTCCTAGATTTCTAGTGTTATAATTGGAAGAAAAAGGTAATAATTGAATACCTCTAAGCTACTATCATTATTTCAAAAAGTCTAGCAGAAATTAGGCATGTCTCCAAAATAAGAAAATTCTGGAAATGTTTTACATTAGAAAATATTGGTTTTCGTATCTATACTAGGATTACAGATCAGCAGTTCTTTCCAGCTGTGATCAATAAAGACTAGGAAATGAAGTATTTTAGAACAAGGATAGATTTTGGAGCCAGAAAATAGAAGTAAGTCAGTATCTCAGACTGTATCCATGAAAAGGTGACCTAACCTTTCTGCATCTATAAAATGGGGACAATAGTATCTACTATGAAAGATTCTTGTCAGGATACAGTGAGATAATCTATATAAAGTGCCTAGCAAAATGACATGAAAAATTGTCTCTAAATTTCATTCCCTCCCATTCATTGATAAATGCAAGTTTAATATAATATTTCAAAATACAAGGTCATATGAGACAGAGAGAGACAGAGAGAGAGAGAGAGAGCCAACATAAAGAATCCTCTGTGCTGAAAAGCAAAAACAGATTGTTGGTGTGCATTGCAGCCAGGAAGAAACTGTAAATAATAATGCAGGAGATAGGAGACTAGTGACTTGTGCTACATAGGGAGAGGTCTGGATGGAGAGGTAACTCCTTTATGAGGAGGATTTAGGTGGAAGTAAAATCAGAGTTATCAGCACCATCTGACCTTGATAGGCCTGGAGTTGAGTTGGATTTTGAACCCAGATGGTATCTGACTCCCAAACATCTACTAAGCAACCACACAGGTTCTTCCATGTTCTATAAAAACAAGAAAGAAATTCCCTGTAAGTTTATATCTTAACACAATTCTTCCAAGAAAGCCTCACTAACAACCTTGTAAGTGGTGTTTGTTCAGTTAATCTTTGTTGAATGAATGACTGGATAAGGGAATTAATTGGGGCATGGATAAATGGAAGAATGGATGAGTAGCTGGGTGGCTGGCTGGCTAGCTGGGCGAATATATGCCAATAAATTGCTAACTACTTCATGCAGAATGTGTGGCTATGCCAAAAATAGATTACAAAGGAAATAAAATGCATAATCTCTGTTATAGAGGAAGATCAATAAAATTGGTCACCTGAAACAACTCTAGAAAGACCGAGTCATTGTGAGAATCTGGTATAGATGGTAGAAACACTGATTCACACACGATTCATCCTGGAAGTGTCCTCAAGAGTCCAGCCTTCTTATTTACAGATGAAGATAACCAGGAGGCAGTGACATGCAGAGAGCTGCACAGTTAATATGTGACAGAACTAGTCAAACCTAGTTCTCAAGACAATTACCTGTGTAGTGCACTTTTGGTTATACCTATTCTATAAAGTAGTTCCAAACATCAAGGCAATTATTATTATTTTTTATTGCAGCCTCTTGGAGAAATAAAGTAATATTAGCCAAGGAGATTCAGGCTTTCTAAAGAGATGGCTCCTTTTGGATGAGCATGCTATGCTCCCAGATAGGATTCAGACTCAGAAGCTGAATGCGGGTTAAAGAAATGTTATTGTTATTCTTATTTATGAAGTTATGCTTGAATCAACACAGACTAGAAAGTATACTTACCACGTATAAATCTTTTCCTGTTAAATGGAAGAACTAGACTAGTATTTGTATGCATTCTTTAGGGATCACAGTTAGTCACAGTTTTTGAAAGTATGTGATTGATTATAAAACACACATGAAAATCCTGAAACATTCAAAATTTATGTACATGGCACAGGAAAAAATATACAAACAGAGGGACAGGTTTACAAATCATGCAATAAATCTGAAATAAAGGGATTTGATTTTCCCAACCTTATTTTACACTTGAGATATAAATGATTTATGTTATAAATCAGAACTCTAAAGTTCTGCCACCACAATAAAGTTTACGAATAACAACTCTTAAATTTGACTTACAGCTTTGTTTTATGAATTCTACCTATCTTTTATAATTTTGATTCTTTCTCAGAATAAATTTTGTCATGAAGTTCCAAATTATAAATGATGGTGATTGCAAGCTATGTTTACTATGTTATCATTATTGGGGAATTACCGAGAACCAAAAGTTTCTTTTTAGAAGGTTAAATTCTTGCATACTGTATGTGAGTGAGAAAATACATACCTTACCAACTAAAAAGGGGATATGAAATGTGATATGGTATTTAAGAACCACTGAGCTGCCTCAGCTTTCATAATGAGAAATCTCTCTGGAGACACTGATAGTTTAAATGGGCACAAGAAGAGACAAGTGAAGTTTCCTTCTGCTACCGCCCCCATGGTCAAGTAGCCCTAGACAGTGATACTTTCTACCCACCATGCCTGAGAACAGAGCCTTGACTGACTAGCTGGTAATATTTCATAGCAATCTCTAACATTAGCCTTACAGATGTGTAACAGCACAGCAACATCGTTCCACTATCCATAAGCCAGACGTATTTTGTTTCTCTTTCTTTGTCCTTTAAACATCAGAGGACTATGACTATATATAGTTCTTCAGTTAATGGTCATTATCATGGCTATCTTTTCCCAAGCATCTATTATGAGGCAAACACTGTGCTTGATATTTTCATACATTATATTTTTTAATCCTCTTCACAGTACCATGAATCAAGTTGCTGCCGCCCAGGAAGCTGGAGATCTGAAAGTGTGCATGTCTTGCCTATGTTCACCCAGCCAATTTCTTGTAAAAGGAAGAGGTTTCTTGGAATAGCACAGGATGCCTCACGGTATTCTCGCATTTCAAGGGCTTTCAGAAGGGGTTTTGAACAGAAATACTTACAGGGGCCATGTGTGTTGCATAATTGAGTGATTTCTATGAGGTACATGCTCTACCTAAAGGGCTCAGACACTGCTCTACACTATCCAGTTGTCACCTGTGGAAATAAGAGCTCAGAAGTTCCAGAACAGGTGTTTCAAAAGAGGTTACAAACCCAGTCTTTTCCATGAAAACATAATTTTTTAAATGATGACTCATGGTTTTGGATTTTAATTTTTTGTAAACACTGTGCTGACCACAGAATACTTAAAATCAGATTTTGCACAAAATCTGCTGCTTTGAGACATCTGATACAGATATTACAAACTTTAGGATGACCTCTTTATGTGTAGTAGATACTCATTTATTTACTTAATGTTGGAGGGCGTGGGTGTGATGATTCTTTCTGAGTATGTGGGGGATTTATCTGTGTTCCTATTATGTGGAGTTAACCCAATCACCATACCTCAGGAATTAATTTATAATATGTCTCAGCATTGTTTACATTATTTCCAATGGAATCAATAAATTGATTTCTTCTGTTTTCTCACCCTTATTAATCTTATCAGTGCTGTCATCCATCATTGTGAGTTTTCTCTGTGGGCATTATTGCTACCATATAATTTTTCTGGGTCAATTTTGGTAAGTCTAAACTTTACCTGTACATTTTTAGCAAATGTCAAATTTCCTTTGTGTGAATTATTTCTCCTGGTTATATTATCTATATTAATTAATGTATTAGTTGAATCAATCCTGCTCATTTGTATTTATGAATGAGCAAACTCCCGAAATCATGGTGATTGGCTCTCCTAGGATAATCCAGGGTTGCTTCATATTCTAGGAATTTATAAAATATCTCTGGGAACTTTGTATATTTTGGCCTGGCCATTCATACAAAAGGTAGACAGGATTTATTAGAGCAAGGAGAGTTCAAAGTTAGTGAAACTGACTTATCTATGTAGGTTTAAACATTCAGATATTTTATTTCATTCTGCTCCCTGGGAAATGTAATAAAAGTTTCACTTTCAAAAGACTTGCTGAATGAGGAATGTAAAGTAATGCTCATAACAAGTCTGACAAATAAAAGTCATGAAGAATCTGACAGAAATTGGTAATTGATTCTGTCCTATAATCTATTATTGCCTCTTCTTAGAATAAGATTATATTTTGTTTTAAATAAAGTCCACCTTGCCCATCAGTGTTATTGAAACATTGTCTGTAATAACTGCATCAGCCTTTCAGAGATAATACCTATCTGATTTAGCATTAATTCACTTTCAACTCCTCTTAACTCTGTGTATTTAACCTTTTTTCTTTTAATCTTGAGAAGTTTGATGTCTTAATATGATCATATTAACTAGAAGAAAAAGTTAGTTTTCTTGGAATTTATTTAATGTTTGTGTTTTAAAGAGAAAATAGAACTTTCTTTTTTTTTTTAGTTTGAGTCCTGTGACAGCCTTGGGAAATAATCAAAATCTAATACCACAGGCTTCATCCTTGTTCTGTGGAAAAAAACAAAATTTGATGCTGTATCTGAAAATCAAGCCAATTTAAATTGAGTGTATACAGGGCCTCTCTCCTTTGTTTTCCCTTTAATCATACTGGTACTGTGCTCTGGCCTTCATGTAGCTGATACATTATTTCACAGTAGTCGGTTTGATGCTTTGCAAGGGTTTGCCAGTTCATTCAAAAGAGCATGTTCAACATCCTCAATTTCATGGAAAAATGGCCAAAGACAGAGTGACTTTCTACTGTGTCTTCTGTATTCCATTTATAGTAACCAATCATCATCATCATGATCATACTAATATTACCAATAATAGTTATTGCTTAGAAAGTACAGCATAGTAAAAGTGCCAGCAATTTATTTATGTTTTCTAGGGTCCTAAAAACTATACTGCATGGAAGGTAGAATTTCTCTCTTTACTTCATGATGAAAATCTAAAAGCTCAGAAGGTCTAGGTATTTGCTTAAAGTCTCCCAACTCTAAGATCATTGCTTCTTTCTGAGCACCATGGCTACATGTAAGTAAAGCTATTTTTTCTTAGTTCTCAGGAAACATAGTGGTACAGAGGATTTCTTTTGATATCTGGTCTTAAGCTCATAGACAGCTTGGAGATTTTTGTCATGTTAGTGATTGAGCTGAAGAGACTTTCTACTTTTTGGAAGAAGGAGTTAACATTTGCCAAGTTTCTCCATTTGTCAGACCCTTTAAGGGGCATGATGAACACCTGGATATTTAGTATATGTTATTCTAAAAGCTAACTTTCATTTGAGAAGAGTCTGTACGGGTCCTTTGCCCATATTTTAATTGGGTTGTATGTTTTCTTGCTATTGAGTTGTTTTGAGTTCTTTATATATTTTGGCTTTTAAGCCCTTATCAGATGTATGACTTACAAATATTTTCTCCCTTTCTCTGAGTTGTCTCTTCACTTTTTTTTTTTCTGCGCAGAAGCCTTTTAATTTGATGCTATTTGTCTATTTATGGTTTTGTTGCCTATACTTTTGGGGTTCCAGTGTTGACTATATATCCAAAGAAACTTAAATCAACATGTCAAAGGGATATCTGCAAGCCCCTGTTCATTGCAGCATTGCTCACAATAGTCAAGATATAAAATTTGGCTGTCTATCAACAGATGAATTGACAAAGAAAATGTGGCATATAGGCCAGGCGCAACGGCTCACGCCTGTAATCCCAGCACTTTGAGAGGCTGAGGCGGGTGGATCATGAGGTCAGGAGTTCGAGACCAGCCTGGCCAATGTGGTGAAGCCCCGTCTCTACTAACAAAAATAAAAAAATTAGGTGGGCATTGGGGCTTGCACCTGTAATCCCAGCTACTTGGGAGGCTGAGGCAGGAGAATCACTTGAACCTGGGAGACGGAGTTTGCAGTGAGCCAAGATCATGCCACTGCACTCCAGTCTGGACGACAGAGTGAGACTTCATCTCAAAAACAAAAAAAAAAAAAAAAAAAAAAAAAAGAAAGAAAGAAAAAAAGAAAATGTGGCATACATACACAACATAATACTATTTAGTCTTAGAAAAAGATGACAATACTGCAATTTGTGACAACATGGATGAATCTGGAGGACATTATGCTAACTGAAATAAGCCAGGTACAGAAAAACAAATACTGCATAATCTCAATTATATGGGAAATCTAATAAAGTTGAATCATAGAAGTAGAGAGTAGAATGGTGGTTACCAGAGGCTGCAGCTTAAGGAAGAAAGGTAATGAAGAGTTTTGATCTAAGGATGCAAAGTTTCAAATAGACAAAAGGAATAAACTTTTGAGATTTATTGCACAACAGAGTTGGTACAGTCAATAATAAAGTATTATATATTTCAAAATAACTAAGTAAATTTCAAATGTCTCACCATAAAAATGATAGATAAACAAGGTGATAAATATGTTAATTTAGCTTAACTATTCTGCCTTGTATACATGTATCAAAACCTCACATTATATCCCATAAACATGTACAGTTATGATTTGTCAATCAAAAAGAATATTAATAACACAATTAAAAATAAAAAGCTAATCTTTGTAAAGCAGTCTACTACATCAGCCACAGTTTCACATGCTTTACATTCATATTAAACTATCAAATTCTCACAAGAACCCTATGGGGTAGGACTCTTATTATTCCTATTTTCAGGTGAGGAAACTAGGGCCTAGAGAATATAAAATGGTGGAGCTAGGATTTGAACCTAAACAATCTGGCTAGAGAGCTCGAGTTGTTAAATGCTACATGACATCGTATCTTCATATTACTATTCCTACCCTCTAAGGGCTTGTACCTGTTAGACAAGAGAGATGAACACATAAATCAATTATGTCATGTCGCTAACATATTACACTTAATTTGCACAGACCATTATGGAATGATCCTGAAAAAGAAGAAACCCCTGGTAGAACCTGGCAGAGGCTGGATATAGTGAAAAGAGAACAATAGCCAGGAGGGCATCTAACAGAAGCAGCACCTATCCTTATGAGCCTTAAACTATGAAAAGACAAGAGGGATGAGCCCTCTTGGACAAAAGAAAAGATCTGTGGAAATGATTTTGAAATTTTCTTCTAATTCTACAGCTCTAAATCATTTAATTGCATATGCTCTGTTGTTGATTATATCTTGTATTTGAACTGTACTTTACAACTGTTATCTCTCTCGTCCAGTGAGGTCTGCAAAGCAAAAACAATCTTTCTGTCCTGAGAGATGCTGAAACTGTGTTAGAAGCAACTGGTGCCACTATGATCACAGGCAAGCTAGTGTCAGAGATAAGACTATGAGCTCCCAGTGCTATGATCTTTCCATTAGACTTTGAGTTATGTCAGGTACTCAACTTAGAAGTCACTATGTCCATAAAGGACATAGTGTCTAAATAATAGTGATAATTACTGATTACTAGATGCTTACAAAAGAGAAGTTACTGTGCCAAGCACTTAATATGCATGGTCTTTAAAAAACCTTAGAGTTAGTTATGTGATGGTTATCACTGTTCTAATTGCATATGAGAAAACTGAAATTTGGAGAGGTTATATAATTTTCCTAATACAATTACTACACCAAGACTGATAATAAACAAAGCTAAGACTAAAGATTGATCTTCAGTAAGCAAATGGTTGCATTCAATGGCCAAATCCAAGCTAGCATTTTAATATGTGTGCTAATACACAGCTATTAGCAATATTTGTGTTTGGTTATTTCAACTAGAAATTCTGGAATCTTATTTCATTTTTGGAATCTGACTTTTGCCTCAGTTACTGACTGCATAACAAAAAAATCCTCAATACTCCATCTTCTCCAAGGTATCTTCACACTTCTTCGTAGTTTATTTTTAGATTGAAGGTGCATTTTAGAAAAACACTTTTGACAAATATTCTGTTATCTAATTTTTATTTTATCCTGGGAGCAATAGCCAAACAACTTATTGAGCAGTGGTAAAAAAGAGACTGGGAGTATTCAACAGAGGCCTAGATTTTCATCCAGGTACGCTGCCCTGCTTGGAGCCACAGCACACATCCTAAATGTTATTAAGTGCATATCATGTTCCACTAATCACATGTTATCTTCAAAGCACGAAATGAAGCCAAATATTATGTCCACTACACAGATAAGGAAACTGATGATCAGGGTAGTTAAGAAAACATTGTAAGATTATATGATTTGAGGTAGAGGGTAGGACAGGGTTCAAATAGAAGTCTCATTTACACCTTATGACCCTGCCCTGATACACATTTTATGATATTCCCATCCTTGCCATTTTCTTTGGTACGCCCCTTGTTAGGATATTCTTGATACCCTTGTTCTAACTTTAAAATCATTTGAGCACTTTTTTCCTCCTTGGATTGCTGCTATTTCTTCAGCAATGAAGTCTTGAGTTGGGAAACCTAAATACGAATTCTAGATGTATCACCTACATCATATCACTTGACTGACTTCTCAGGGTCTCAGTGCTTCATCAATAAAATGAGAAGGCTAGGCTCAAGCTGTGTATCTCAAACTTGGCTGTGTGTTGGAATCACCTTATCACTATTGTTAATTTTGTAAAATTGTACATGGCATGATAACTACACCTTAAAAAATGTGGTACATATATACGATGAAATACTATGCAGCCATAAAAAAGAATGAGATTATGTCTTTACAACAACATGGATGAAGCTGAAGGCCATTTTCCTAAGCAAATTAAGCAGAAACAGAAAGCCAAATACGACGTGTTCTCATTTATAAGTGGAGCTAAGCATTGAGCACACATGGACACAAAGAAAGGAAAAAAAACCACCAGGGCCCCCTTACGGGTGGAGGGTGCGAGGAGGGTAAGGATTGAAAAAACTAACTATTGGGTATTATGCTCATTAACTGGATAACAAAATTATCTGTATATCAAACCCCCACCATGTGCAATTTACTCATGGCAAAAGCACCCCTTGAACATAAAAGCTGATGAGAAAAAATAAATAAAAGAGACATAAGAAGCAAAAAAAAAAAAAAAAAAGAATTCATTTTCAGTAAGTGATACATACTGAAATACTCGTGTTCATTTATATCATTCCTTAGATTTGGTTTAAAATAGCATTTTTTTAAAATGTAGTGAGAGATGAACAAGACTGGTAAAATGTCAACAACTGTCGAAGCTAAGTAAAGAGATATTCTAGTATTCAGTCCATTTTTGTGTGTGGCTAAAGAAGTTTATGTAAAAAGTTTAGAAAATCACTTAGTAATCTATTAAAATACTTATGCGTAAGCCAAACCCTCAGAAATTTTAATTCAATTATTGAAGGTAAAAGGGTAGCTATGACTTAAGTATAAGTATCGTCTAGAAAGTTACTCAGGTGGTTCTAACAGGATGTCAAGATTAAATATTTGCCTGGAATTCTAGATAACTTATATGGTTTCTTCTAAATATAGCTCTATAGATACCAACACTTTTAGAAAAAGACACTATTTGGCTTCATCCACTGGTATGAGAGGAAACAGTCCACACTTAAAGGGGAGTGTTTTTGGGACCCAGTGCAACTTACCATAAAAGCCTTCCATCACCTTTCAAAACCCTGGCTTTCTTATCCATGACTTGAAAGAAACGAACTCAGTCAAACTCTAATCACTTGATAAAAGCTGTAGCCCCAGGGGAAGATGAGAGAAGACAGCTGGTACATCTGGCTAAACTCAATTATAGCTGAGATATATTAGTCCATGCTCTCCCTGTGCTTTGTATAGGCCTGAAAAAGAAAGACATCTAGACATTGGGGTTTTCCATCTTCTTCTCACTCCTTTAAATGAGCCGAATAGTCAACTAAGATTATACTTTTGGATTCCTGCATATATACATTCATCTTTTTTATTCATTCACTTATCTCATTATTTATACATTTTTTGAGTAATTGCTATAAGTTAGGTTCTTGTCAATATTTTTAATGAGGAAATAAAGTAAAAGGAACGGACATGTCTTAAATGTACTGGATTAAGCCTTGTACACATGCCATTACTTTTATTCATTTATTTATTTATTTTTTGTTTGTTTGTTTGTTTTTGAGACAGATTCTTGCTCAGTCACTCAGGCCCAATCTCTGCTCACTGCACCCTCTGCCTCCCAGCTTCAAGTGATTCTCTTGCCTCAGCCTCCCAAGTAGCTGGGTTTTGTAGTCCAAAAAGTTTTGTATTTTTAGTAGAGATGTGGTTTCACCGTGTTGGCCAGGCTGGTCTCAAAATCCTGGCCTCAAGTGATGCACCTGTCTCAACCTCCTAAATTGCTGGGATTACAGTTGTGAGCCACCGTGCCTGGCTGCCATTACTTTTAGTATCAACAAAAATATAGTAAAATATTATAGCTATATCCAATCTTCAGATGGAAACCAAGGATTAGACAGATTGAGTAATTTTTCCAAGGTAACAGAAGCAGCAAATGGAAAAGCTGGAATGTGAACCCACATCTGTATCATCCTCTGGAGCTGGACTATCAACATCCCTACAGTTGTAGAGAAACAGTCTTTGCACTGTTTTCTTAACTTTTCATTTCTTTTCTTCCTTCCCTCTCCTGCTCTCTCTCCTTCTTCCTCCCTCCTTTCTTCACTCTTGTTACTCTCTATTCTTTGTTATTTATTTCTTAAAAATCTTCATCTGGTCTCTTAACTCCATCTTCTCTGAAACCTTTTACTCATGAGCCCATTTTTTGATGCTTCTTTATCCTCTCTCTAATTCCGCAGCCTCTCTTTTCAATTCTAGTCCCTTACTAGCAACCAGTGCAGAATTCTACTTGTATCTGCTGCCAAATTATTTGAATAATAAGAAATACAAGACTCTTAGAAAATCAGACAGGGCAAATTCAAGGAATAAAGAAACAGTTTGAAATGGAAATGAGCCTGAGTTTTGATTGCTCAGCAGAAGGATGTGCCTTGTGGTTCTGAATAAGAACAGTATTTCTACACTTGCCTCTACAGAAAAAAAAAATAAAGAAAAAAAAAGAAAAGTCACACGATTAGTGAAAGTTCCCCCCAGCTGGCAATCCCAGACTTTATTTCTTGCCTGGCCCTTGGTCTCATGAAGAAATAGCTTTAACTACTGTGTCACCAATGTTTCAAAGGTGGTTTAAGGAATTAGCCCTCTGTCCTTGGTCAGCTGGGCAGCATGGGTAGGACTGGAACTCCAGACTATAGTACTATCTTTTCATCTCCATGTGCTTGTAAAGGTTATCATGTGCCTCCAGACATGAAAATGGTTGGAGGCACCTCTGTAAGTTTGTTTTTATATTTTGATTTATTTTCTACTATTTGTCTTCTGTAAAATATTTAATGTAATTAACCACTCACAATTTGGGGATTTTTGTTTTTGTTTGTGCTTTTAAAAAATTTTCCCTTTCATTTTTTAATATGTTAGTGTAAATAGATATCACAGATATTTTTAAAAAGCAGACCTAATGTACAGCTTAATGAATTATCACAAGGTGAATATCCTTGTAACCACCACCCAAGTTAAGAAATAAAACTTTTTTTTTTTTTTGAGACTAAGTCCCACTCTGTTGCCTAGGCTGGAGTGTAGTGGCGTGATCTCGGCTCACTGCAACCTCTACCTCCCAGGTTCAAGCGATTATCTGCCTCAGCCTCTCGAGTAGCTGGGATTACATGCGCCTGCCACCATGCCCGGCTAAATTTTTTTTTTTTTTTTGTATTTTTAGCAGAGATGGGGTTTCACCATCTTGGCCAGGCTGGTCTTGAACTCTTGACCTCATGATCCACCCACCTCGGCCTCCCAAAGTTCTGGGATTACAGGTGTGAGCCACCGCGCCCAGCTGAAATAAAACTTTTAAAGCCACTCTGGATCTTCTAGAGAGCAGCAGATATATAGGTTGTTTATATTGTGCCTGTACTACTTTATAAATAGGGGAAAATATTGTAACATAGGGTAAAATTTGTTCTGTTATGTATTTACTTCTGATCTGTTGCTTCTGTAAATTTACCTAAACTATCATCTGAAGGGTGATTCTTGATGTGTGCACTTTCATGAGAGTTTTAGCATATAAGTGAGCTCAGTGAAATTTGAGATTATGGTTGTCTGGTTCAAAGTTCTATCCCAATGCTTATCACATAATCTGATACATTACACACACATAATCAATAATCTGACCATATGTCAGACATAATTTCCTACTCCTAAATATTTATTCATGCCCAAGATATTTACTGGTGAGATCTAGTCTGTGCTTGACCCTGTCCTAGGTGTCAGGGGTACAAAAATACCTAAGATATTATCTCTGTCCCAAGGAGTTCACTCTCCTCGGAGTAATAAATGTGCAAGCAAATAATTACAATGAATAATTACTGTAAGTGCTATAAGACCAAGTGAGATACTCACATAAAGGAAATATTGTGTGATTCTTCTGGGAAAGTTACATGAGTGGTATTTAAGATAGATGATGAAACATGAATAACAGTATGCAAAGCTGAGCAAAGTGAACTATATATTCCAGGGAAATTGGAGTATGTGCCAAGTGATGAAGATGTGAAACCACCTCACATGTCCTGGGAACCACATGTAGTTGAATACTGTTTATATGTTGTACGTTAAGGTTAGAAGTGTGAAGTAGGCCGAAAAAAATATGTTGAAGACAAAACCCGGAGTTCTCTTCCGCCATCGTAAGAAATTTGCTTTAAATGATATTAGCAACTGGACCTGTCAAGGGCTTGCACGCAGAGGAGTGATATGGTCAGGTTTGCCTTTTAGAAAACTCACTTGAGCGTCAATAACAAATGAACTGAAGAGGCTTGAGTGAGAGACAGGGAGAGGCACATAGTAGCTGCAGTTTGTTTGGAGAACTGAACAATTACTCTGCGTGTGTGAGAAGATCATAGATTCTGGAAAGGTTCAGAACAGAGGAGGAGCAACTTTTAAGGCTAAGTGGATGAGTGGAGAAAGGGGGAGGATTTGTGGATAACTCAGGAATCTCCTGACAAAGTTAAAAGCCTATAATTTCCCTACCATATATTTTCTTTCTTCTGTGTTGTTTGGCTAGAGATAAAAATATTATAGTCTTAGGAAAAATCCTATCAGTGGAAATGAGAATTTTAAATAAAATCTAATCAAGTTCATAATTTGCCACAGCTGAGAAGATTTGTGTCAAAGCCACTACTTTCTGGTTAACTTCTTGTCTTCAGTCAGAAGAGCACTATTGGTGGAGTTTTATTGTGTTTTCTGAATGAACTTAGCTGTCTACAGGCCATAACTATGAGATTCTGAATAGTCACTCCATCACTTTCCCATGGGCAGAACTGAGCTTGGGTTCAGTGGAGGGAGGTGGTACCATGGCATTATACCTGGATGTCCCCTCTGCAAAGTGAAATAGCATAAATAGTGTGGTGGGAGCAATCACGCAAAAAGGCCTGGGTTCAAATTCAGATTTGGCTACTTAGAACTGTTCCTTAACTATTATGAGCTTCCATAGACTCATCCATAGAATGGATGGTAATATCCATCACACAGGGGTCTTTGTGAAGCTATTGTGATGGCTGTAGTAAGATATTGCACATAGGGTATTATGCCTAGCACCACGTGAGTGTCCTGTGGTGAACAGTATTGACACATTTAATCTCTCAATAATAGTTTGAGGTATTAATACTTCCATTTTACAGACGTGGAAACTGAGACAATGAGGTGTATTCACTTAAGACTACACAAAGGAGGAAGTGGAAGAATAGGTTTTAAACCCAGCTATGAAAGATGGCTGGCAAACTCTCATTTTGTCAAGAGTAGTAGCTCCTAACATCTTAGACTTTTGGCAAAGTGAAGCTGGTTGTTTTTCTAATTTGGACTGTAAATACTCATGATGCTAAAACGGAAGAAGCATTGGTAGGATATATAGGAATACACTGGAGTTGAAAGAAGAGAGAGAAAAAAACAGAGGGAGAAAGAGAAGGAGTGGGAAAAGAAAAAAGGAAGGAGGTGAGGGAAGAGAAGGGAAGGGTGGGAAGGGGAGGGGAGGGGAGGGGACCTTACAGAGAAATAGTATCCAGTGTGAATTGGCAAGGCACTTGTTAATTCTTTTAATCCACTAGTAGGTTGGTGTCAGCTCCTAGGAAGGATCCATAGCCTTTGATGATGATAATTTTCACCTGGGGATTTTTTTTAACCCTGCAGGGAATGTCCAGTTTGCTTAAGGGACTCTCATTCCTGGCTGTCGTTACGAGGAGAAATATAGCTGTGGGATATGTATGTCTATAAGTGTGGATATACACATACACTCACTCTCTTACACAAACGCACACACATGAATGCTGTGAAGCTTATACAGGAAAGTAAGAGTGCTCTGGCCCCACTGCTATCTGTGCTTTCTCCCTGACCCTGGTTTACTTCAAGAAGTCTGCTAATTACAATTCTGAATCTAAATTGATACAATTATACAGGCTTTTCTTGATTTAATTTAATTACATCTATCAGTTTTTTCTGTGAGAAGACTAGCCAAATTTTCATAACTCTATTATCCCACTTAATTTTTACAAGAAAAATTTTTTGCATAGTGTTTGTCTTTACATAAATAGAACAATTCAACTTTCCTTCTTGTTTATTTAGCTTTAAATAGCATCTCATGAATCTCCATCGATGTATGTACCTCATCCCTCATCCTCACCTTCTAGCTTCCTCTAGTCTTCTGGGAGCAGTGCCTTTTCTTTTAAGCCATCAAGGCTGAAGACATCTGTATCTTGGTAAACACATTTGTATTTTCTATCTTGTGTCCTTATATTGACATAAAAAATAAAAACCAATAAACATTTCTTATTTGACAACATAAACGTCCCTCACTGTCAAGCCGAGTAGTTGTGCTTTCATTTTATTTTCTTCTTTTTCCGTTGACTATTACTCTGCTTTTGCCACTTAAAAAAAGTTCTTCCTATCTCGGTCAAAGGTTTATCTTTTATTATCTTCCACCAATAGCTAAAAATCATGACATATTGCATCTGCTTCAACTGTAACTCATGTCCTTTGTGGGAGAAATACACCACTGGGATGTAGACTGTGGGCTCTGGGGTGAATTACAATGGGTTCTTGTCCTGACCGTGAGGTTAACTTCGTGCCCTTGAGGAACTCTGTGCTTCAGCTTCTTCATATTTTAAATGTGGGCAGGAGCAGCCCAAATATGTAGTATTGTCAGGAGGGTTAGATGAAATGTGTACAAAGGACTTCACATAGTTGGACACATAGTAAACACTGCATAAATGTCTTTTATTATAACATTGTATAGAAGTTTTTAATTATTTTTCAGTGGAAGGAGCATTTGCCTAATTTACCACGTCACTAACATTATCTAACTCTTCAGTCATTGTGTTGCTTGGACTCTATTTGTTTCAACTTTTTGAAAACATATTTTTGGATTTCTAATTCTAATTTGGACTACTGCTGTTTTACATGCTTTACAACTGCCTTTTTCAGCTCTTTCAGGCAATCCACTCTTTCATAGTGGTCCACTTCCCAGTACTTTGTTCTCCCCCCTAGTTTGTTATGTTCACCAGCAGAGGTTCACCCATGCTCCCTGATCCTACAGTTTGTGGAATCTACCCACTGACAGTCCTTTCTAGTCTCTTCACTGTTGCTGCTTTAATTTATTCCTTTCACTTTACTGAGTTATCTAGAACACATTGTACTTGTTTCATGATTCAGATATAAACAATCTCCTGTAATCCTCATAGAAAGCCCAACATGTAAGTGCTATGATTTCCATTTTGGGGATGGAAAACTGAGGCACATAGGGAGTCAGAAACTTGCTTAGGTGGGGAGTGGTGGCCCATGTTTATAATCCCAGCACTTTGGAAGGCTGAGGCAGGAGGATCACTTGAGCTTAGGTGTTTGAGATAAGCCTGGGCAACATAGTGAGACCGCATCTCTACAAAATTTTTTAAAGAATTAGCCAGGCATGGAGATGTGTGCCTGTAGTCCCATTTACTTGGGAGACTGAGGCAAGAAGGTTGCTTGAGCCTTGGGGGACGGGGGGAAGGGGGTTGAGGCTGTTGTAAATGAAAAGGAAAAAAAAAAGGAAAAGAAAGGAAAGAGAAAGAGAGAGAGAGATAAAGAAAGAGAAGGAAGGAAGGAAAGAAAGAGAAGAAAGAAAGAAAGAAAGAAAGAAAGAAAGAAAGAAAGAAAGAAAGAAAGAAAGAAAAAGAAACAAGGAAGAAAGAAAGAAGAAAGAGAGAGAAAGAAAAAAGAAAAGGAAAGGAAAGAAAAAACAGAGAGGAAGGGAGGGAGGGAGGGAGGAAGGGAAGGACTTGCCCAGGTCACCCAATAGCAAGTAGCAAAATCCTGATTACACTTCATGTTCTTTGGACTTGGCAGCCCTTCTGGGGAAAGGGCAGCAGTGATTTTTTTCTTGCTTCAGAGGGATCCTGGAATTTTAAAAGTCTTACTTAAATGCAAAGAGGGCAAAGGAGATTGAGGAGTAGAAAGTACTATGTTAGCATATATACCTTGCTAAGGAAGCAGATCTGAAAGAATAGATACAAGTGTAACTGACTCACAGGCTGAGGAAAAAAGCAAGGGGCAGCATAAAAAGAACCAAAACCACAAAGACACTTTTGTTGCAAATCCTTTCTTTTGTGGTGACAGCAAGTGCCTGAATTCCAGCTGTGATTGTATATATTTCCAGAGAACAAAGCTTTATAATAGTATACTTGTCCCAACTAGACTGACAAATTAACACTTGCTGATGGTGGTCCACACCTCTCCACCACATGGGGATGGCAGCTGTGGCTAGCAAGCATACTGATGGAGAGTTGCTACAGATTTTTTAACCTGGAAAATCCATTTTATATCTTCTATGTGCAGCCTTTAAAAAGATAAATAAAGTTATATATATATATATGTAGAAAATATATTAGAAATTGCATATACATATTTGCTGATTGATTCACCCAGTCTATTTTATCATAGCAAAATATGAGGTCTGTGAACAAAGCATGTACTTGTCAGAGAAAAACGAATGTTTATTCTATATAAATGTAAAATATATACCACATATGTGTATTTTGTATAATTGTATATGCTCTCATTATGTTCATATTCAAAAGACAAGAGTTGATATTATATGTATACAGACCTATAACTCTATTGTATGTGGCATATGGACATGTCTCCATAGCTTGCTCTATGTACTATCTATGTGTGTATATATGTATGTATGAATCTATCCACGGAATATTACTAGAAAGAACAAAAACTTTAGAGTCAGATACATTTAGATTTAAAATTCAAATATCTGACTCAATAAATACAGAATTATGGGCAATTTACTTCATGATTTTAAGTCTAGGTTTCCTTCTTTGCAAATATAGGATAAGGAGAGTACCTATCTTAGGGTTCGTCGGTATGCCAAGGAAATGAGAATTCATGTGAAGCGCTTAGCAAAGAGTTCGGTACATAGGGCATAGTCAAAAAATGTTAACTGTGATCAAGATATTCTCATGCATTCAATTCAACATATATTTCCCCAGCGTGTATTATGTTATAGAATATATATCACATATGCTTATAAAATATTTACAGATACTTGCACACAAATATGTATATAATTTATTAAGTATAATTTGCCTACTTATTTGAACTTATTATATGCATATGTTTGTAGTAGTATACATATGTAGATCTAACTCTAGTAAATTCAGGGAACATTAATTGAAAAATGTTTTGAGCCAGCCTCTGTAATAGTTCCTTGGGTATTAAAATATGTGCTACACTTATAAAGTGTTTTTAGTATACTGAGAAAGAAAGATACATAAAGATATTATTATAATGCTGTATAAAATGCAATAGCATGGTATGTAGAAGAAGTGTGAGAGAATCAATTACTTTTTACTAGAAGGACTGAGGAAGGGGTTTATAGGTTAGAAGACAATTGAAATGGGCTTTAAAGAATGAAAAGGATCTCATTAAGAATGGAATAGGAGGGAAAGGCAGAAGCCAGTTCAAAGGCAGGATAGCAGCTGAGTCTAAAAATAAAGATTAGTTCCGTTTATGAGTGGCTTTTTCTGCCACCCAAGAAAGTTTAAACTTTATTCCATGTAAGTAATAACATCAAGGATCCAAGATAATCTGGATACATGTATGCTATAGAAGGTTGTCCTATACAAAAAGTAGGATAAGGAAAAGTTTGTAAAAAATAAGATCATATAGGAAGGTACTGAAAATTTACAAAAGAATTATATTTGTGCAGTCTCTTACATTTGACAAAACATATTCATAATTGTAATTGATTTTCATGCAACCCTATAAGGCTTATCTATCCCTATCAGATTGTTAGCTCTTAAAGTCTTTAGCTTGCCTATCCCTGACTCTCCAGCGGTTTACAGAGCTAGAACAGAATAAGCGTAAAGGGTATTGATGGTTTGTCTGTGTCCCAACCCAAATCTCATCTTGAATTGTAGTTCCCATAATCTCCACCTGTCAACGGGGGACAGGGTAAAGATAATTGAATCACGGGGGCGGTTTTCCCCCTGCTGTTCTTGTGGTAGTGAGTGAGTTCTAACGAGATCTGACTGTTTTATAAGGCGTTTCCCCCTTCACTCAACACTCATTCTTTCTCCTGCCACCCTGTGAAGAGATGCCTTCTGCCATGATTGTAAGTTTCCTGAGGCCTCCCCAGCCATGAGGAATTGTCAGTCAATTAAACCTCTTTTCTTTATAAATTACCTAGTCTTGGGTATTTCTTCATAGCAGCATGAGAATGGACTAATACAGGTATATAGATCGAACAAATGAGAGAGTGATTTTTTTTTCCCCATGATAGAGATAGGAATGGAGATTTGGGAGACTTAGATTCTTCAGCAGCCGCATCTGCCAGCTTGCATGACAAATCTCCTCCCTTTAAAATCTCAAAATATCATCCTGTCTGATGTATATAATGTTGTGAAAGGCTGAACACCAAAGACATAAAATAATTTTTTGGCTTGGACGCAAATCGGGCTTCATCAACTTACTATGCTTCCAGGTGTGCAGTATAGTATATGCACAGGAGCGCGTTAGTTTCTTTTATCTTACAGACATATTTTCAAGGTCACTTTCAATAAATGTATGATAAAAAGTACTTAAAAATGTGGTATGGAAAGGGACAGAGCGAGAGGTAAAATCTGGACCTTCTGACAACAAATGAATATCTGTCAGTCTTGGGCAAGTTACCCAACATAGGAATGATTCCATATTTTTATCAAGTAATACATTGCTGTTTACTCGCATAGGGAGGATTACCATACTTAGCAAACTAAAATATAGAGCATATGTAAATTTCAAATCAATACTGGATACTTTTTAGAATAAGTATGTCCCATCTAATAAAGTGCAACCTTTCCCTGACATTTCTAAACCTATCCTGTCCATGCTCTTTTTGAGACCCATTGTAATCTCATCTGTCCTCATGCTTCAGCTCTTTTGTTGATACCCATGACATTTTAAATTTTATCTGTAGATGGAACCTCTTTCTTGAGCTCTGGTTAAATAGTCCTAACTATCTTTTGAAATGTCCTTTAATTTCTTTGCCACAAAATGATAATAATAATACTTCTTCTCTGACTAAGTTGCTGTGAGGATTTAATGAGTGCTTTTTAAAAGCATATATAATAATTCCTGGCATGTATCAGTTTGAACTATAGAAAATTGCTCTTCTGTATAGGTTAAATATTGGGGAATTTTAATACTAAGCACTATATGATTGTTTGCCATCATTATCAGCAGGATTACAGTCTTCTTACCTTCCGCGAAGACCTAAATTATTTTATTGCCTCAGCTATGTGACAACACCCTAGCTCTCTACAAGAATGACCTATGTGCATGCACTTGGCATCCTAGCTCAGCACCTGGCACATGGCAGGAACTCAAGTTCACTTTCCAGGATTCCTTACAAACAGCCACCCAAATAATCTTTCTGAAACTCAAGCCATCTCAAACATCATCTGTGGCCCTATTTATGAGATCATGTGGTAAAATGGAAAAGACCCTGATCTACCACTGACTAGCTATGTGCCCTTGGACAAGTCACTTTATCACCTCCCACCATGCCATGAGATTTCCTGCCTCTTCCCGTTTACTGATACCTTGTCCTCTTTGGAATGTAATATCACCTGCATCCTGCCCCACAACTCTCCAATCTAAATCACCTCATCCTTCAAGCTCAAGCTGAAAATCTTCTTTTACACATTGTTTTTTGTTTATTCATGCAAAACTCTGTTAAGCATTAATCATATTCCAGACCTGAATATCAAATTCAGGGCACCTGGCATCTAACAGTGCTGGAATATTCGTGCACTTACGTTAGATGCCCTCACTTGCATTATTGTATTTCAACCATGCTATAAACCTGTGGAGTAATTATGTTCCAAGTTCTCAGCTGAGGAAATTGACCTTTATTACAGTTGAATGAAGGCCAGGCACAGTGGCTCACACCTGTAATCCCAGCACTTTGGGAGGCTGAGGCGGGCAGATCATGAGGTCAGGAGATAGAGACCATCCTGGCTAACATCTCTACTAAACCCCATCTCTACTAAAAATACAAAAATTAGCTGGGTGTGGTGGCACTCCCCTGTAGTCCCAGCTACTTGGGAGGCTGAGGCAGAAGAATCACTGGAACCCGGGAGGTGGAGGTTGCAGTGGGCCGAGATCATGCCACTACATTCCAGCCTCGTAACAGAGGGAGACTCTGATTCAAAAAAAAAAAAAAAAACAAAGTTGAATTTTTTCCCAATAACTCACAGTTGCTAATAAAATTAAGGTTCTAACTTTGTTGTGACCCCTTTTTACCCCCATAGAAACTGTGTCCTCTCAAAAGAATTTTCATATACAGTGTGAACCTCAACAGTATTCTTTGCAAACCTTTCTGCAACCTGGTCTTTATGTGTTAGTTTTATTCCCTGGATTAGAAGTTTCTTGTGGCTATGAGTTACATCTGATTTAATTCTTTGTTTGTCTTGCTTCACATAGCATAATAATAAAAGTCACAATACTGAATAGCTATGAGGTACTAATACTGTACTATCAATTTTTCATTTATCTTTTTCTTTGAAACAAAATAAAGCATCATGCAGAAAATAGATCTATTTAACCTATAATTGTTAACTATTACTAATTTTATAAGACAGGAATCTGAGAAATAAAGTCCCTAAGCTACTAAATGAGGCACTCAGGAATTGAGCTAGATAAGCCCGCCTGTCAAGTTTAGCCCTTCCCACTCAGCCCTGTTGCCCCATTAATTTAAACAACAGCAGCTTAGCAACTACTTACATGCCACACGTGGTGCTCAGAGTTAAGCTCAAGGAGATGAAAAATTGCACATTTGCTTTGCCCTTGGAGTTTTGGAAACAGGCAATAGAAAAGTTGCTCATTTAAAATGATCAACCATTTTCAATCATGACTTCCTTTGGACATATTGATTTTTTTATCCGTTGATTTTTTTCAACAAATATTTACTAAGATCTTAGTATACATCAGACACTATGCTTTAACAAACCAAACCTCAGCTCTACCCTCCCAGAGCTCACAGTTGAATTGGAAGACAATCAGAAACCAAGTGATTGTAGATGTGAGCAGAGTTAGAAAAGGCACCATACAGAGATGCACTGCAATGGCTTCAGCCCGGAAGAGGTGCCAGGGAAGCTGTCTGTGCAGAAGTACTGTGGAAGCTGCTAAGACCTAGAGTGCATGGGATGATTGAGAAGAATATTGAAGGCAGAAAGGGAAGAAAATGCAAACCTACTGCAGTGGGAGGGAGAATATCACATTACAGGAAATAAAAGAATATTATAAAGTGTCTTGTATGAGGGGAAGAGGGGTTAAAGGGTAAGCAGGAGGCAGAGCTCCTTGCCACAAGGTTAAACAGTTTGGACTCTACCAAAAGGTATGGATAAACTGATTCAAATACATCTTGAGCCAACCTAAGCTTTCAGAGCTACCAAAACCATAGAAAAACCAACTCTATTTACCTGTTTGTTCTACACGACATTAAAAATGCATATATATACACATACATTTACACATAAAGGTATGTAAAATTATCTAAAGGATTCAGTACTTGTGGATACTAATTGTGAGATTTTATTACAGATTTTAGAGACAGCAACAACCAGCTTTAATTTTCACAGCCCAGGTTGAGTTTTCAGCTTCACTCGACAAAAATATCAGCTCTCCTTTGTGTCCTGAGTACATTTCAGGGCCAAGTCACACAAGAGAATGGGAATCGAGACTTACAATGCCATTTTCACAATTGCTTTCCTGATTATAATCATACCTCAAGATGTTATTCCAGAACTTAATTAATTATTTTATTGCTCCTTTGTCATTTTCAAAGTGATAACAAATACAAAAAAAAGAAGTCTCATATGAGTACATGGTTTCACCAGGATCTACCGGGGATGTCTCTGGTATTTTTCCTTTTTACACAATCAATGTTTCCTTTAGTTAGAGAGGGGCTTCAATCTATCAGACTGCCGAGAGCACCCCTTTGAAATCTTCAGGGTGATAATTTAAGTGAAATAGAATTAGAGAGAGGAAAATGTCACATCCTTGGAAATCTTTTGTGATAAAGGATTTTCTTGGCTGTTTAATAAGATGGCGCAGAGGGGATCAGCATTACAATTAAGTTTGCAATCTTGTTGTACCTAGTGACTCCTTCTAAATATTATCTTCATTCTCCTTAGTTTCCTTGCAACAATAAGGCTGATAAATTCCTCTGACACTCCTAACCTTGTGAGAGGACTTACTTGGCCCTCAAGTCCCAACTGCATCTAAGGAAAATATTGTTTCTTTATTTAACTCTCCTTTTCCAGATACATGTCTATAATTGAACAACAGTTACAGATAGCTTTCAAGATTCATTAAGATTCCTCAATTTCCTTAGACTATAGCAACTCTGGTAAGTGGAAAATACAGTGGGAAAACCACAGAGTTTAAACTCAAGCAATCTTAAGTTTGAATTGAAATGTTGCCACTATTTAACTACAAGTCACTCAGCCCTTCTAAGTCTCAATGTTCTCCTAAGATTATTGGTCCTGAATGATAACATATGCAACATGCTAGTAAGCGCCCATATGCATAGGTCTAATCAATATATGAAATTGTCTTTTTACCCTCTAGTTCTCATAGTCTTCAGGAATGTCCTTCCCTTTTCACTCCTAGTTCAAGCCATTCTTTAGGTTCAGTTAAGTCCTACTCACGATAAGGATAATATCTGCCATAGATACAGAAAAGGATAAAATGTGAATAACCATTTTTCTGACCTTCAAGGATCTTTCCATCTAGAAAAGAGAACAAGTGTATGTATATCTAAATTAAGCACAAGGCTGAAAATGTCATCACTCTGTTAAAGGAATTGAGAATGGTGAGAGTAGAGGAGAGGAAAGTTAATTTCAGGTGCAGAAGACAGGACAGATTTTCTGGGAAGGTGTTATCAGATCTTACTTTTGAGGTATGGGTACAATTTAGACCAATAGAGATCACGGGTAGCAATAATACAGGCCCTTGGTGTGCAATTACAAAGTCCAAAAATCTTAAAACTAAAAGCATTTTCATAGCTCAAATGGTAACAAAACCTAAAATACATGCTAAAGCCTTCATTAATTTTACTTAGTGTGAATATTTATATGTTGTGCTCCAGAAATATTAATATATTTTGGCTAAAGAATGTTGTCTTAGTCCCTGATGAGGACACTATATAACATGCAATTACATTGGTTTATCTCTATAAAATACTTCTCTCATGCCCCCATGAATTCTTCCGTAGATCTGGCCATACAGGTCTTAAATAAGGGATTTATTGTGGTTCTTTACAATAGGCAGAAATAATAATACAATGATGTAGATATATGAAAATCCAGAGTATATTAAAATAATATCAAATCATCTAGTGTTATTGGAAAGATTAGTGGATGACTAGGATGGCAAAGATCATGAAAGGATTTCATTCCTTCAGTGAACAGTATTTATTGAGATATTTCTGTATTACAGTATTCTTTTAGAGGTTATGAAAGGATTTCATTCCTTCAGTGAACAGTATTTATTGAGATATTTCTGTATTACAGTGTTCTTTTAGAGGTTGAGAATCTAGCTGTGAACATACCAAACCATTGTAATATGGTAACAGGATTCCTTTCTAAGTTCCCTTTTGTTTCAGAATGGTGGCAATCTACCAGTGGTTTAGGTGGTGGTGCAGGGTAACGTGTAATGGAGGCATACAGAGGTTTAGTACTGTGCTTAAGCTTTTGAGCCCATTACGCATCAGAGGCAAGAAACTGAAGTCAGGTAGGCTAGCGTGAGAGTGTATGCTCATAACCCCACGACACTATTCTTTTTGTATTTAGAAACATGCAGGAGAGACATTAACTGTCTCTGTGGGCTTTGATGACGTGTCATAGAAGGCTTGCCATAGGCTGTATTACAAAGGATGAATAAGATGTGTTGCAATAGAGGAGAGGGTTGGGTTACTAGGTGGAGATGAGCTCTTCGATGTGGGCATAGGCAGGTAGCACAGTGGATGAGAACATTCCCTCCATAAGTCCCACTCTCTGGTTTCTACTCCTTATTTGGCCACTTACTGGTAGGTGATCTTGGTTAACCTTAACCTCTTTTATTATTATTATTATTATTATTATTATTATTATTATTATTATTATTTATTTTTGAGATGGAATCTCGCTCTGTTGCCCAGGTTGGAGTGCAGTGGCGCGATCTTGGCTCACTGCAACCTCTGCCTCCCAGGTTTAAGCGATTCTCCTGCCTCAGCCTCCTGAGTAGCTGGGATTACAGGCACACACCACCACACCTGGTTAATTTTTGTATTTTTAGTAGAGATGGGGTTTCACCATGTTGGTCAGGTTGGTCTCAAACTCCTGACGTCATGATCCGCCCACCTCAGCCTCCCAAAGTGCCGGGATTACAGGCGTGAGCCACTGTGCCCAGCCAATCTTAACCTCTTTTTATCTCATTTTTCTCATCCTTCAAATGGGAGTAGTAATAGTGCCTCCATTTTAAGGATTAAATTAAATGAATTGCTAGATGTCAATGTCTTGGGGCAGTGCCTGGCACATACAACTGTGACAAAGAAAGACAAAGTCCTTGCTCTCCTGTTGACTATTTGTGTTGCTTCTTTTGCCTAATATTTGCTACACTTTAAAATTATGCAACTATTTGTATTTGTTTAATATCTGTCTCCTCACTCCTCTGGAGATTGTAAACACTGTGACACAGGACCTACTCTGTTTTGTTCAGCATTATCCTTAATGCAAGAATCTTTTATATAGTAGGTCTCAAAAATATATGCTAAAAGATGAATACATAAATGCATGAGAGGTATAAACAGATAATTAATCAGCGTATATACTTTAACAGACAAGTCGTTTAGCTTTCCCTTATTCTTTGTCATCATACATTTTTACTTTTTTCTTGGAAACCTGGGGCACTGAATGACTTACATCTTAAAACTTTTTCTCCAGGGTGGTCTATTTCTGAGCTGAGCTCCTGCATTGATTTAACAAAAAAGGTTTCTTAATATAGACACCCAAGACTAATTGCATTGTCTAGGCACATTGGATAAGGATTTAATTTCACACATCACAAACGATCAGCATCAAATTGTCAGAATCGTATTTTATACCTTCTTTATAGAGCTCTTCAATCTTCTTAGCCCACTTTCACAGCCCACTACTCTGAAACAAGGTTCAGTTAGAGCCTAATGGGGAAAAAAGAAAGGTAGAATGACAAAAGAGAAAGTATTAAATGGTCACTCCATCACTGATTTCAGGAAAGCATACATGTCCTGAAAAGTTGCTGTAACTTTAGACCCAGATTCAGGCAGTGTCCCAGGAAGCCACCTGTGAGTGTGTGCAGCTTCTAGGATCTGCCCCAATTTTATCTACAAAGGGTCTAAATGCAGGCTACAAAACAGAGCTAAACCCAATCACCTGGATCCACAGGAACTCCTGTGTTTTCTCCTTTTCAAAAGCCAACATCCTCTAGAAGTTCAGGGGCTAAATCCTTCCATCAAAATCACACAGTGGGTTTCTAAAAAGCAGTTGGAGTAAGAGACTTATCAGTTCTGCAATATGCCACTTTTCTGTTGGGTGCTTCTGCACTGCAACTAAAAGCAACAATTGCACTATTTTCTGATATTTCTCAAATCCATCTCTTCCTCTTCATTCCCATTGAATGTTTCTCTTGGTGAGAACTTCAACATTTTTAGATGAATGCTTGTTAGAATAGGTTTCAGCAGGCTCCCCCGCTTCTTCCCTTTCTAAGTATGCCCCCATCTCATCACCAGAGTATTCTTTCTAAAATGCAAATTTGTTTACAGCTCTTCTAACCACCAATCTTCCACATAGTGTAAAGTAAAAATGTTGGCCAGGTGCAGTGGCTCACACCTGTAATCCCAGCACTTTGGGAAGCCGAGGCGGGTGGATCACGAGGTCAGGAGTTCGAAACCAACCTGACCAACATGGTGAAACTCCATCTCTACTAAAAATACAAAATTATCCAGGCGTGGTTGCACGTACCTGTAATCCCAGCTACTCAGGAGGCTGAGGCAGGAGAATCGCTTGAACCCAGGAGGCGGAGGTTGCAGTGAGCCGAGATTGCACCACTGCACTCCAGCCTGGGTGACACAGCGATTCCATCTCACGCACACACAAAAAAATGCTTTTAGTGTCAGAAAATGTCCTTAAATTTGGAAATGGGCCACATTTCCCAGCATTTTTCTTCCTTTCCAGACTTGGTTCTAATAGCACCACATGAAAAAATCTCTGAACCCCCTGGATGCCTTGACCTCTTTCTCTTCTGTGGCCTATTACAGTTTGTATTTTGCCTCAATTGTATGAATCATTATTCTGACCTCAGCAATTCATTTGTTTGCCTTTTGTCTTTCCACGCTATGATCTCCTTGAGACTTGTGACCCATATGGTTCATGTAAAATGAATCAATTCTTTCTGTAATCAGCTAAGCTCACTTGTGCATCTTTAGTCAGACGTGAGTTGGATAGGCAGATATGACGATCTATCTAGATTTTCTCAGATGTTTGGGGCTTAACTGGTATAGCTTGTCTAGAAGGGCTTTGACTAATACAAGTGGGCTCTCCCTCATGTGGTATCTTCTGTAGGCTAGTCCAGGCATATTCTTAATGACAGTGTCTGGGCAACAAAGGAGCAGAAATGTTCAAAGTCTCTTGAGGCCTAAGCTTAGAGCTTGGCCAATCATCACTTCCATTGCTTTCTGTTAGTTATTAGCTCAGAAGGTCAGAAGGTCAACCCAATTAAAAGAATTTGGAAAATACGTTCTACTTCTTGATAGAAAGAGATACAAGGACACATGGCAAAGGCCATAGCTACAAGAACAGGTGAAGAATTGGGGCTATTTTGGTAACCAGTCTCTTATATCTCTTGAGTAAACCAAAACATTGTTATGTTTCTTTCCTGAGAATTCAGGACATACTTGTGCAGAACAGTGAACTGCCAATTAATGGTGTAATCTGGCTGATTTGTAGTAGCTATTAGAATATAATCTGTAATTGCTAAAATTTTCTAAAAGCAAAGGAAATATTTGCTGGGATACTTATAGTTAGATAGCTCTTTTATGAACGAGTTGAATAACAAGAACTGTTGTCATTGATTATACGATAGCTAATACCTTATGGATTATATGCCACAGGAGGTAGATGTTTTGGTTTTTATTTTGCATATAAGAAGAGAGAGTCTCTGGGAGGTTAAAGAGAGGCCCAAGGTCATGCAAGTGGCCCTTTTGGGAGAACTCAAGACTCAAAAACGCAGATTTTTAAAATTTTACTCTAAGTGTTAACCTCTGTCCCTGTATTCCTTTGGTGTTTAAGAGGCTATTTAGAGTGACTTACATCTAACCATCACTTACAAGGTGGTCATTATCTTAGTGCTAAAGGTTTTTAGGGAAGGAACATTTATGTAAGAGATTTAGTTTATGTGAAAATCTTTTCCAGTTTACTCATCCTTGCAAGGACAAAAATCAATTTCTTTTGCAGCCATAGTTACTGTTTATACTTTCAATAAATTTCATGTTCTCCATGCAGTTGATCAGATGCTGCTTTCTTCAGGGATGCCGATCAAAAGTCCGAAAGTTTATTTCTCTGAATAAACACTACCCTGAAAAGTAGGGAGGGGAAAGTTCTTCCTATCCTGAAAATTTTCAGCTCTTCGTTAATCCAAAAAGCTGAAAATATTTCAAGTCAAACGTGGCCACATACCATCTGGCTGAGTTAGAAGTTTACTTAGTAATCTCCTTATCAGCCAAACAACTGGAAGTCTAGATAAGTCCTATGTGTAAGAAGCCAGTGTCAACTTGTTTCCACATAATAGCAGTGAGAAAAAATGTATTAGAAAAGAGGGAGTTCATCAGGAGGAATTAATTTGGGAATTTTGCTGGCATGCACTGAACTCTCAGTACTGGTGAGTTTATTATTGAGGGAACCAACTAGAGACTTTAAGGATGCTTTGTGTGTCATCCACCAGGAAGCATTATTTGTGTGTGGTTTTCAAAGTGTTTTCTATACAGGAGTTTGTTCAAAACTCTAAAAAGTGATACTACTGTATTTTGCTTTATGCAATAGATATGGCACTGCAAAATTGCCTGCAAATTGATTTTTTTTCCTATTGTAAATGGAAATCTAATTGAAATACACTAGGGAGGAATTTGCTAGTTCAAGAAATCCTTGCATAGTGTGAACATTGCTTTTTCTCTTGAGAATAAGTACTCCTTAATGTATCTATTTTGTGAATTTAAATTTTTGTTCAATAAGCTTCATGTAGCTGTGCTCATCTGCCTACCTTAGGGCACCTGGGAAAAATGCATTTACATCAATTTAGTAATAGGATTTTTCTGAATACCTCACACACCCACAAACTACATGAGAATTTTTCAACTTGAAAACATCCCACTTATTATCGAAGTGATTATGGGTACTCTTATATAACTCTTCAACAAAACTGACTTGTTCAGAGTCAAACCCCACCTCAAATTCATCCTCCAAATTACTGCTATAGGGCAGAAAGACATGATTGAGGCAGAAAAGTTGTTAGAGTAAATTGATATAGCAATTTAAACACCAACTCTATAGGGTCATTCAGATATTTCTTCAGTCAGTCAGATGTGGAAAGCAGTTCTGCATAAAAGAATAATGAGTTTTGGACTTGAAAGAACAGTGACAAGTCACTTAGCTCATTTAAGCACCAGTTAGCTCATGTATGAAAAGCTTGGCATAGACCCTGCACATAGTTTGTATCCAATAAACAGGCTGTTGTTGCAATTGTCACTGGTGGCATTGTTATTGTTCATACTCTTTCAGCCAGCCTGCCATTCATTTCCTGGATGAGTCAGTGGCCAACCCTAGGCAGGAGAAGATAAAGGCATACTCTACAGCTCTTTGGCGCTTCCTGTTTCTCTGGAGTAGTCATTCTTCTCGATCTTTAGGTCTAATTTTATTCTTTGGCTTAGTTTTATGATAGCAGTAGTTACTTTTTTTTTACTTTGATATGATAGCAGTTTTACTTTGATATGATAGCAGTAGTTACTTTTTTATTTGCTTTGTTAATTTTATAATAGCAGTAGTGTTTCTATAGTCTCTTGGCTTAATGCTGGGAGGTGACCTGCTCATCTTTAGACCAGTGATGTGGGCTTTGTGTCCTTTTTTATATGCAGATGCTCAGGCTTTGAAGTAAAACACTGTTCCATTTACTAATTGTGTGACTTTGGGTGAGTTATTTAACCTCTTTAATTCTCAGAGTTCCCATCTCTAAAACAGAATTCAAAAGACCTACTGTTAGATGTGTTGGAAAGATTAAACAAAATAATGAGTATAAAATATTTAGCAGACTGCCTAATACATAGGGAGCACATAATAAATGTGGTTATTTTAACATTCAGGGGGGACTGCTTATCATACCCCACATCCAGATCCCTGGACCCTCAATCATCTGATGACTATTTCCTTAAAGAGATTCTGGTATTTCTTTGTTTTTATGTCATTTTTTTCACCTTCAAGCATCTATAATAACATACATATATTACCATTCCTATTCAGTGATTTTTAACAGTCTTTTAGACGTTTTATGATGCTCTTAAAACTGTGACCCATTTAATCTTGCCAGAGAAATACATCTATAATTAAAAATGCATATGCTAGTTTTCTACTCAAAACTTCCTGGATTCAAGGCTATTTTTGATCCTGTCCCTTTTTGCTTCTCCAATCTCATTGCCTGCTTCTTATGTACCCCTGCTCCATGCTCAGTAAATGATGCCTGTTTCTCTAAAGTCTTCTTCTTTCAGACTTCAGTGCTAATGCATAGTTGGCTTTGAATGTGTTTCCTCCTCTCATTCTCTCAACAACCTCGTCAAGGCTCAGCACCTCCTCTCCTGTGACTCCTTCCTTGACTCCAGTTGGTCAGCAACTGAAGATGTGTTTTCCTCTTTGCACCATTTGCATATCAACATTACAGCACTATTCCTATCACATTGAACTTGATAGTCCACCTCGTTATTCTCTCATCTTATAATGCAGGGACTACACTTTTTAGCTTTCGTATTCCTAGTGTCTGGCACAGTACCTGGTGGTACTAAGTTCCCACTCTCAACCTGAATCTCTTTTTCTCCCTTTCCTTATCTTTCTATGTGTATATATGTGTGTGTATGCATGTGCATGCACGTACACACTTTCGTTTAATAAGAAAGTTGTTCCATGTCATGTGATTTTATTTTCTCTAACAGTTACCACACTCCAGGGTAAATACCACATAATGTAAACAAATTAGAGGAGCTCTTATCTTAGCATTTAGTTCGTAGACACATATTCCCATGGAATAGGCAGATACTGGAACAGACATTTTCTCTAAATAGTACAATGTGCATTCACAGCTGTAAAATCAATACACCATTTACTGAGAGTTAGCTTTATCTGTTGTGTGTGCTGTATTACAAATGACTTTATACAAATGTGATTGAGCTTGCCTCTCCAATTCATGAAAATTGTTCATTAAAATTATTTCTCATTCGTACTCAAGAATGAGCCTTCAATAAACAGCATAATCTTAAGATTTAGTTTAAGAAACAATCTTCCCAAAAATGCCTTTGTTTAGGTTCTTGGGAATTCCATGTAGTCATCTATGCATTGAAGTTGAACACATGCTATATTGTTCAAATGAATAATTATTGCTAAGAAATGCCATTGAAAGCTAATAGATTCAAAATAATTTTTAATTGTTAGTTTTATTTTATAGTTATCAACTTGACTATACAATAGACTATTATTTTTTAATTTTTAAACAAGGAGTAAAGGAATGCTTGCCTATAAGATATAAATAATTACGAGCATATTATTACTTTCCCTAATCACATTTTTATTTTTAAAATATTATTAATGGGTTAGGCATGGTGGCTCACGCCTGTAATCCCAGCACTTTGTGAGGCTGAGGCTGGATCACGAGGTCAGGAGATTGAGACCATCCTGGCCAACATGGTGAAACTCTGTCTCTACTAAAAAATACAAAAATTAGCCAGGCTTGGTGGCGTGCACCTGTAATCCCAGCTACTCAGGAGGCGGAGGCAGGATAATTGCTTGAAGCCGGGAGGCGGAGGTTGCAGTGAGCCGAGATTACACCACTGCACTCCAGCCTGGGTGACAGAGCAAGACTCTGTCTCAAAAAATATATATATATATTTATATTTATATTAATAATATATATTTATATTTATATTAATACTATATATATTATTGATGGCCAAGGAAGCTTTATTTTTTTAAAGAAGTGTTTGTGTGTGTATCAGCAATTACTTCCTCATGATTTGTTTTGCATTGTTCCTTCCAGCCTTAGTCTACATACATCCATTTATGCATACATATACCCTTATTCCTAACCATATACTTTGAAACTATGAGGTTTTATATTTTCATATAAAATATACTTCACATGTCCAGAAGAACTTTTCTGTTTACTTGTCACATACTTTAAAACATTAACAGTACTATTGAATGACACTTCTTTTTTTATTTAATTTTTATTTTTTAATGTTAGATTTAAGGGGCATTCGTGAATGTGTGTTACATGGGTATATTGCCTAATGGTGGGGATTTGGCTTTTAGTGTCTCTGTCACTCAAATATTGAACATTGAATACAATAGATAATCTTTCAAACTTTATCTCCTTCCTACCTCCCCACTTTTGAATCTCCAATATCCGTTATACTACTCCGTATACTTTTGTGCACCCATAGCTTAGTCCTCATTTAGTGAGAACATGCAACACTTGATTTTGTACTTCTGAGTTAGTGTACTTTGGATAATGGCCTCCAGCTCCATCCATGTTGCTGCAAAGGACAGGAATTCATTATTTTTTATGGCTGCATAGTATTCCATGGTGTCTGTATAACACATTTTCTTTGTCCAATCAACTGTTGATGGACACTAGGATTAGTTCCATGATTGCCGTGGTGAATAATGCTGCCATAAGCATATGAGTGCAGGTGTGTTTTTTTGAAAAATGATTTATTTTTCCTTTGGGTAGATACACAGCAGTGGGATTACTAATGGTAGCTCTATTTTTAGTTCCTTAAAATATCTCCATATTGTTTTCCATAGAAGTTGAACCAATCTACATCTCCACCAACAGTATACAAGAATCCCCGTTTCTCCACATCCACACCAACATCTGTTATTTTTGGCTTTTAGTAATAGCCATTATGACTGGTGTAAAATATCTCAGTGTGCTTTTAGTTTCCATTTCTCTGGTAATTACTGATGTTGAGAATTTTTTCCTGTGTTTCCTGGCCACCTGTATTTCTTTTTTCGAGAAATATCTTTTCTTGTCCTTAGACCAGTTTTTAATGGGATTGTTTCTCGTTGAGTTCTTTGGGTTTCCTGTAGATTGTGGATATTAGCCCTTTGTCAGAGACATAATTTGTTTTCTCTCATTCTGTCGGTTTTCTATTTACTTTTTGATTATTTCTATTGCTGTGAAGAGGACTTTTAGTTTAATCAAGTTCCATTTGTCTATTGTTGTTTCTGTTGCATTTGTTTTTTGGAGTCTCTGTCATAAATTATTTGCCAGGCTGATGTCCAGAAAAGTTTTTCCTAGGTTTTCTCCTATTAATAAGACTTTTATAATTTACATCATGTACATTTGCAAGTCTTACATTTAAGTCTTTAATCTGTCTTAACTTAAATTTTGTATATGGTGAGAGATAGAGGTCCATTTCCATTCCTCTGCATATGGCTAGCCAATTATCCCAGCACTATCTATTGAATAGGATGTCCTTTCCCCATTGTTTATTTTTGTCAATTTTGTTAAAAGTCAGTTGGTTGTAGGTATGTGGCCTTATTTCTGGTTTCTCTGTTATGTTCTATTGATGTCTATTTTTGTACCAGCACCGTGCTCTTTTAGTTTCTCTAGCCTTGTATAATTTGAAGTCCATTACTCATTATTGGTTTGCTCACGATTTCTAGTTCTTCCTGTTTCAGTCTTGGGAAGTTTTATGTTTTCAGGAATATATCCATTTCCTCTAGGTTTTCTCATTTGTGTGCATAAAGGTGTTCTTCTGAACTGTCATTTAGTTACATTTTATTTTAGATTTACTACATATGTATGTATCCGTAAGAAACTTTTTATAAATGTGTCCACCAAAATTATTTGTCTCCACTTTTTTATCACCCAGCATTAGGTATATGACATTCATATATGTTGAAGCATATGGCTATAGTTCACTCATTAATTCTGTAATAGTATATTGGTATAAGAATAAATCATACATAATTTAACCATTTTCCTGTTGATAGGCATTTGGATTATTTATCCTCACTGTTGTTAGTAACAATGCTGTTGTATGAACATTTGTATATTTGTTTCTGGTATACATAAGCAATATATTTTCTATGCTATAACTCCATAGAGGTTAAATTGCTGACTGTAGGGTATGTGGATCCTCAAAGTTACATGATTATAGAAAATGATTTTCTAAAATAGTGGTATTAATTTTACTTCTACTAGTATAAGTTATTGTTGTTTTATAATCTTGCCAATGCTGGGCATTGCCAGGCTTAAGTAATTACTAACCTGGTGAGCATGTATAGTAATTATGTTATAATTACTATACAGCTTCAAATATATATTCAATTTATCAAATTTCCTGATTGTTAATATCTTTGATGAGTATAATCAAATTATTATTACTGGTGCAGTTAAGATTTTACCATTATATTTGATATATCTTATATCATCCTATTTTATTCTTTTTATGATTCCCAATATTTTATTCTTTTTATGATTCCCAATATGCCAGCTGCCTCATCCTAGAAATGAGATAGGCCCTGTTAACAGAGAAAGGAAGGCACTGATCTCTCAGAGGATGATTGTGAATATTGAATGAGATAGAGAATTTAAAAATGCCTAGTTCATGATAGGTATTGGGAAGCATTAGTTCACATTTCCCAATAAGGTGTATGTGTATAAATATATGCACATATTTAGGGTGTGGTATTCTGCCATTTATCACTAAAAACAGCAATAGATTGTGAAAACACCTTAGAAATTTTGACTCTCATTTAGAAAATACCTATCAATTTAATACAATTCAGCTCTTTACATTTTGCATGCTTCGAAGAACTTTATATAAGCCATCCCATTTGATAATCACCATGACTAAGGGAGGGCTAATATTGTCTCCATTATATAGAAATGAAAAATAAAGCTTAAGAAAGCAACATAGTTTCAATCTAAGTGAGCAAGGAAGAAACCATATACAGAGACCCCAGATTAAGGAAATGAAGGAAGAATTAATTCCATGTTTAACATTTGGATGAAACTGATTGGCAGTCATGAAACTGGGAATGATTCTATCACTTACAGGTCATGACTGATAGGACGTGCTTTAGGGCTATTTACTTATCCCAAAGTCTGATGAAGTTTCTTCTTATTTCTCCAAATTCTTGCCAAATACCTAGAAAAATGTGTGCCATATCCCACAAAAGAGGCCAGATTCCTATATTAAAGTCTCTGTAAACTGTTAATTGTCTTGGAATTAAAGAAATATGCATCAAAACTATCCACTATTTGTTATACTCTAGTTAAAAGCCCCACTATCAAACTGAACCCAGAGTGGATATTTTATAGGAATTCACTCCTCAAGAGGTTCCCGGCTTTAACCTTGTATTAAGTGACACCACAAGAAGGCTACATGTCTGGTTCGCATCATCTACTCCACTCCCAACCCCCTGCCAAAATTAGCTTAAATAACTTTGTTTTCCACCATACACTTGGTTTTTACTATGAACCATTTAAGAACCAGTCATACAAGGAAGGCCTTCGTCTTTCTCATAAATCTGTCATCTAGGACATTGGTAGTTACTTTGCTTACTGCTGTCATTTAATAGCTCTCATGGCCAATACTTCTCAGGCTCCAAGCCAGGAAAAGATATGGTTTTTATGATAAACAGGTCTTCCTCCTTTGGTTGGACAATTAAAACAATGTGTGATGGAAAAAAAAATATTGACTTGTTAGTTGATATCTATATGTTTTCATCCCAGCTCTACATGATCTTACTGAAATTATTAACATTTTATAAGCCTCGGGTTTCTCTTCTGTAAAATGCAAAATATGAGCCCTAAATTTCAGGAGTATTCTGAGAAACAAACACTGCAATGGGCTAACAGAGGAGTTTTGCAACAATTACTAGCTTTTTAAAGTCTCTGCCATGTGTCAGAAACCATCAGTTCCCTTGCACATATTATCTTTAAACTTCTCAGTAACACAAAGTAATTTTACTATCTCTATTTTATAGATGACTGAATTAAAGTTCAGAGAATAGAAGTAACCTGTCTGAAGTTACACAGCTAGTTGGTAGCTGAGCTAGAATTTAAAATCAGGATTTACTAACTCTGAAATTGGTCACTTACTATTCCCCTGGACCTTTCTGCATTTTTTTTCTTTTGTCCTATCTGCTACAAAACTTTTAGCTAAGTTATATGGTCAGATACTAAAACTTACTTTCACCAAATTTTTAAAATTATAGTTCTATCCCTCCCCGCTGTCCTGTCATGCCTTATTTCTCTTTGATAGGCATGGTCATGGGGAAGGCTTTCAGAAAAACAATACATTACGGTGCTTACAAAGTTAGGAGTATGAAGTGAGACACACTTGGGTTTTAGTCCTGGCTCCATTCTATTTTATTTGTGTAGACAAGATATTTCAGTTCTGAAATCTCAATTTCTCATATGAAAATACTTGCTTCGCAGATTAGGGCAAATATTATAATGTATGTAAAGGGCCAGCATGGTGGCTGGCACATCATAAGCATTAAATAAATATCAGCAAGTATTATTATTTGATTATGTCAAATGTCTTTGGCTTCTCTCCCTTGTGCTTTTACAATAAGCCACTTAAAATGTTATCGGGAAATAAATAGGACAATTTTTAAATGTCCTAAACTAAATAATAGTAAAATGAGTCCTTTGGTTTGGAAATGGGTTTAATTGAAGGGATTTGAAATGTAGCAAAAACACTGGAAATCTCTCCTGGGAAGTAAAAGACTCCACAGGTGATTAATTGCTTAAAATGACAGATTTAAAAGGAAGCAAAGAAAAGCAAACTTTCCCAAATGTACTGTCTGGGCAAATGGATAGCACTTTTCAACAGTAGCTGCCTTACAGGCACTGCAAATCCACCCAGAAAGGTCTTGTAGGTCTGGTGGCCCAAGACTCAACCCAAAAGCACCCACTTGGTTTCAAATGTTTGGGGTTCAGCAAAGGTCACATTCATTTAATGGGAGCTCATTCCTCTCTTGTTAGGAATCTTTAGGCATTAGGATTTATCTCCAGGTGATTCATGCCTATTTTATGCTGGCAGCCAGAGTAAGATGCAACATAAGAAGCCAGGTTAGCATTCAAGAGGCCTGGGCTGCAATTTTGCTTTTCCCTAACCAGCAATGTCACTAAGTCAGGCCTCCACTCTTAAATGAAGGTCATATCTCATAAGTTTTTACGGAGATCAAATTAGGTAATGAATGTGTTACTAAATCTAGTTGATCAATAAGATTTAAAAGTGATTATTTCCCCCACGGAATTTGGAAATTGTTTTTTGCAAAGGACATAAGGTGTCAAATATTTCACCTTTCCACATAAAATTAGACCACGTGATGCATATTTAACATATCCTCACATTGAATGAAAGGCAGTATTTGTTACAAGCCAAACAAATAAACAACAAAACAAATATATGATGTGACCAGGGTTCCAGTATTGAAAGCTACCAAAAGAACTTTATCTGAAATTGTCCCACATCCATCTAGGCTTTTTGAATATGAAGGGCATTATGTCAGGGAGCATAGTATGTTGTAAGAAGAACTTGGTAAATTTTCTTGAATTTCAAGTTTTACTCAAATATTTAAGTGGAAACATTTCAGTATTAAAACTAGGAAATGCAAGTTATGAAGTAGAAATCTATATTTGGAGGGATTTTTGAGAGGTAACTTGAACCTGCAAAGAAATGAGATTGGGATGAATGGCTTTTTTTTTTTGCTACAAAGTTATCTTGGGGTTCTTGACTTTCTTCTACCCTGAGAGCTATTTTTTGTTTTTTTGAGATGGAGTTTCACTCTTGTTGCCCAGGCTGGAGTGCAATGGTACAATCTCAACTCACCACAACCTCGGCCTCCCAGCTTCAAGCGATTCTCCTGCCTCAGCCTCCCTAGTAGCTGGGATTACAGGCATATGCCACCACACCCAACTAATTTTGTATTTTATTAGAGATGGGGTTTCTCCATGTTGGTCAGGCTGGTCTTGAACTCTCAACCTCACGTGATCCGCCCACCTAGGCCTCCCAGTGTGCTGGGATTACAGCATGAGCCACCACGCCTGGCCTCTGAGAGCTATTTTTATAAAATCATTGTAATTGTGGCATTGGGAACGAGGATCAGATTTGGATTCAGCTGGCCAGGCTCAAATCTTGGCTACACCACTTGCTACTTTTGACTTAAGGTAAATGACATAACCTCTCTGTGCCTATCGCCTCATATGTAAAGTTGGGATAATACCACCTGTGCCATAGAATAGTCGTGAAGATTTAATTAATTAAATAATGGAAAAATAGCACTTGTCACAAGGCTTGCTACACATAAAAGTATAAAAGCTTATTAAATATTATCTTCATTGTCATTATTGTCAGGGAGATAAAGGTGTGAGTAGAAATTCTGGAACACTTATTTTTTTCCTTCCAATATTCATGAAATAACAGACAAAAGTTTTCTACTAACTAGGAATTATATAGTCTCAGGTAGAAATGAATGGCTTATCCAGAGGGTTTAGTGGAAGAGAGTTCAATGGTTCAATAAAGAGGCTATTTTGAGACAGGTGCTCAGAGTTAAGGGGGCCACAGGGGCACAAGGCAGCAGCTCCAGGAGAGCAGCCATGGGAAGCCATTGCCACCCTCAGGCCAGTGATGGCTGACTTGAGGCCTCAGCTTGACTGCATTCAGGGACACTGCAATAGCTGGTAGAGCATTATTTATTCTCAGCCCTTCAGACGACACGCAGCCCATTCCTTTTCTGCTAAAAGGAAAACCCAGGTGGTTTTGCTTTTGATTTTAATGCTTGGGCTGCCCCAGGTGTATATGTGAGAGTATTTCTCGGAAGACACTGGCCTGTGAGTGGGTGAACTGAGTGGAGAAGCTCCACCCTCAATGCAGGCAGGCACCATTTAATCAGCTGGGGGCCTGGAGAGAAAAGGCAGAGGAAGGGCAAATTATTTTTCTCTTTCTTTTGGAGCCAGGATGTTTTTCTCCTTCCATTGGATGTCAGAAAGCTAGGTTCTCCAGCTTTTGGACTCTGGGATTTGCACCAGAGCCTGCCCCCGGCAACCCCGACTCAGGCTTTTGGCCTTGAAATGAGTTATGCCATCAGCTTATTTATTTGTAAGGCCTTCGGACTTGAACTGTGCCACATCCTCAGCTTTCCAGATTCTCCAGTTCGGACGACCCTTTGTGGAACTTCTCAGCCTCCATGATCATGTGAGCCAATCTTCCTGATAAATCCCTCTCACATCTCTCTCTCTCTCCCTTCCTCCTTCCCCTCGCCTCTCATGTGTATATACATATACACACACACACACCCCTCAGGTATCTAGCAGTGCTTTGCCCGTGGTAGACAATCAGTATTTGTTTACCTAATATGCTAATTTATTAATATATCACACATACTGCCTCTCCTGTATACTCATGCAGAACAAAATGCACTCCATGTCTCTGCAATTGTAAAACCTCAGAATCCTAGAAACTCTCACGTGTAATTTACTTTCTAAACCACTTCTGTTTTTGATGTAATTTTAGAGGTAGAATGGGAGGGTGGTTAAGGAACTTATGAAGGTGGGGAGTTAGTATTGTTGTCTCCAGGAGGAACAGTAGTTAAATCATCTGCTAAAAGTAAGCAGAGTAACGCCACGTGTTAAGTTAGTGGTTATGACAGTTTATATAACCACTGCACTTATTTCTGCGATACAGTTGAATATTAGGCTCCTTGGCAGGCAAACCTACTGCGCTATTTGTTAAAGCCTTCCAGTTTATGTTTGAAAAGTCCTTGGTTTTACATAACAGGTGAGGATCCCAAAAGTGTCTATTGTGATTGTTTTAATCACTTTCAAACACAAATTTGTGTTAATCACTTTCAACTACAATGAAGGAATTGAGTATTAAAAGAAAAATGTTTTTAAAGTGCACTAATTTGAAGGTCTCTTTAAATTCTGCAAGCACTAGAAAAACCTCCAGAGTCTCAGTAACAAATATCATCATAGCCCATGTTAATTAAACCTCTATATTTCTGATATTGTGCTTACATGTTTCTGCTAACTCTTAGAAGAACCCAATGAGGAATATGCTATCCATTTTCATTGTTGACACAGAGACTATATATATATATAAATATGTATATATTTATATCTATATAAATATGTATATATTTATATATTTATATTTATATCTATATAAATATTTATATTTATATATTTATATTTATATCTATATAAATATTTATATTTATATCTATATAAATATTTATATTTATATCTATATAAATATTTATATTTATATATTTATATTTATATCTATATAAATATTTATATTTATATATTTATATTTATATCTATATAAATATTTATATTTATATATTTATATTTATATCTATATAAATATTTATATTTATATATTTATATTTATATCTATATAAATATTTATATTTATATATTTATATTTATATCTATATAAATATTTATATTTATATATTTATATTTATATCTATATAAATATTTATATTTATATATTTATATTTATATCTATATAAATATTTATATTTATATCTATATAAATATTTATATTTATATCTATATAAATATTTATATTTATATCTATATAAATATTTATATTTATATCTATATAAATATTTATATTTATATCTATATATATATAAATATATGTATTTCTCCTACCACTTCTGTCTTTCTGGAGAACCATGAGTAAAACAGTCCTGAAGGGGCAGAGGGACGAAAGTATATTACCAGTGATCTCTGTAGCCACAGAAGAAAGCCACCCAATAAAAACTGACCAGAGAAGCAGCAGGGGTGGGAATAAATGCTTTGACATGTCTTCCTCCAATCCTATGACCTGTAAATGCTTTTTATTGGCTGAACGCGATGGGACAACAGGAGAAAGAGGATCAAAGGAACCTGGGAATATAACCCACAGAGATCAGCCTCCCAGGACACACTGAGAAGGATAAGCAGAACCAAAGGAGAAGAACCGACGTAGTTTAATATCACAAAGCCACCAATCACTGGACGTGGAAAAGTACTGATTTAAAAGCAAAACTTATTTATATTGAATCCATTTCAACTACTTACTAATTAGATAAGATTAGATAATTAAACATTATGAATCTATTTCATCAATGAAAATCTATGATAATGCATTCCTCATTGGGTTCTCCTAAGAGTTGGGAGAAATACGTGTAACTAAGTACAACATCAGAAATATAAAGGTTTGGTTAACATTGACTATGATGATGCTGTTTGTTACTGAGGTTCTGGAGGCTTTTCCAGTGTGGCAGCTAATTTAAAGAGCCCTTTAAATTAGTGAATTCATTAGGTAAACAGTAAAATCCTGAGTGTCTACCATGGGCAAAGTACTGCTAGGTACCTTGGAGGTAACAGTGTCCCCAGGCAATCTGGACTTTACTATCAGAAGTTTATAGGCTAGTAGACTTAATCATACAAATACATCCTTTAAATTGTGAAACATGCTATGAAAATCATGTTATGATTTTTTTGGTTTTGGCATATGGAAGCATACTTAAAGGGCTTTGAGACAGGATGACCAGAAAAGGCCTAAGGAGGGACACTTGTGACCAAACACTACAGAATGGTGAATATGATAGGCTGGGTTGGGTAGGGAGGAGGCTGGGACTGGGGACAGTTCAAGGGAAAAACATCTGTACAAAGGTTCTGAGGTTAGAATGACTGGAATCGGTTCAGTTTTTGTGAGGAACTGAAAGGAGCCCAGCATGAGCACAGCATAAGGAGCAAAAGTGTGTGTGTTGGGTGGGAAGGTGAGGTGGGGGGTAAAGGAAGAGATGAGGTTGGACGTAGGTAAGGACCCTGTTATGCAGTGCTACGCTGTAAGCCATTGACGAGTTAGAAATTTGGTCTAAATGAAGAGAGAAACCAATGAAGCATTTCATGCAGGGAAGTAGTAGGGTCTCCAAAGGCTTACCCTGGCTTTTTAGTGCAGAACAGGTTGGAAAGGGGCAAAAATAAATGTGGAGACCAATTAGGAAACTATTTGAATGGACAAGACCAGAGGTGATGGTGGCTTTGACCAGGTCAGTGGTAATGAGGTTGTCTTACATATGCATCAGTAGCAAATTTGATGAACCAGATGAAAACCTATTAAAAAGAAGGTAACATAAGCTATATTACAGGATTGTTGTAAAGATTGAATAAGATATGTGCAAACATAGGGCAAAGCCACAGCTATATACTAAGAACTCAAAAAATTTCCTCCGTTTTCACGTATACCAGACTGTTGGTTTCATGAGGATATTTATGTTATTCTTGTTTGAATCCACCCAGTCTTCCAGTACTTTGTTTTTTGAATGACTACATATCACATGACTGCAAAATACTAAACCTTTTGGAAACAACATTCTAAGTCAGGAGAGAAAAAGCCTAGCAAACATGTTTCACTTCTGAATTCTTGATTTGAATTTCTTCTGTTTCCTCTTTAGACTTAGATACCATAATTCCAGGGGCTCTTTAGAGGCTGTTTTGTGGAATGCTAAAGGCTATCCAAAATTCAATTTTGTTATTGTTGTTGTTGGAATGAAACATCATCCTGCACTTGCAGAATTATCCTTTAAGAACTACAAAGTGTTTTTCAAATGAAGATGCAGCCTGCTGATGAACTAGAAGGGGAAATGAAGGAATTGGATGATTTATATGTCTATGTGCAGTAGCGAGTGAATTGGCAAGATGCAAAAGGATGAAATACCAGAGTCTCCAGCCCATCTTACCATGGTTTTGTATTGTAAAATTTAACTTTCTTTTTCTTCAGAATTTCTTGGAATCATGTCAGTTAAAAAAAAAAAATGGAGCTGGATCCGTGGCTTTGCTTCACTTTCTTCACAAGACTATAAGGAAGCTATGAAGCTGGGAATTTAATACCCATGATGTCTTTTAGAAAGGCATTGCCTATTGCATTGGGTGTTTTTTTTTTTTTTTTTTTTGGATGTTGACTCTACTCTGTAAATTACTTCATCAAATTGTGCATTTAAAAGCAATTGATAATTCTAAAAAAGCACTTTCATAAGCAACATATCTTAATTACTAAAGTGTCTGATAAGGAAATAATAAATCCCATGGTAAATCAGACCAATAACAAGTCAGAACAAAACTATTTCTAAGAAGGAAATGAAACAGTTTCTCTGGGTATAATACAGTGGAATTACTCATTATATTGTGGCATGACACTAAAGACAATATATTAGGTCAAATTTTGGATATAATCAGGAGTCTTTCTGAAAAAAATTGTCCATGAAGCATATACATGGTTTAGGTATGAATCCTGGAGTAGAACAAATGGAAGAGTATATGCTTTTTTATGATGCACTGTCTGTAAGCTATAGGTGAGTAGACGATGGGTAGATAATTCTTCAGTACTCCTGCTTTCCTGAAGTATTGGTGCACTCTTTAATAATAAGTCACTGTAAAAATTATAATGTCCACAGGTCAGTTTATTATTGTAAGCACTGAACAAAAGAATGGAGAACAATCTTTGGCTGAGGTTAGGATCAAAGACTGCACAGAGTGTACAAGCTATGATTGCAGGCTTTGTCCATTCTGTGAGTCTTATTATATCACAGAAATCAACCAACCAGTAATGATTTATTTGGTGTCAGTGTCGTGCTTATTCCCATTTAAAGTGCACTGAAATTGATAGAGAAAAAAATAACTAAAAGTAATAGTTGGTTCATGGTATTCATTCACTAAATTTGTTGAATGTTATGAATGAATAAATGAAAGATTATTTTATTGCCTTTCTGGGAAATGTTACTCCTTTTCAAAAATTGTTGTTTAGACCATGTACATGTCTGTTTTACCAGAAACCATGTCTCATTCATTTTTATATCAGTGCTTATGCAATAGTTGGAACATATTAGATGCTTCATAAAATTAACTCACTAATAAATTCATATGCGTATGTATTAAATGAGAACCTATTATATATGAGTCCCTATGCTAGGTGTTGACAAGGTACCTGTTACAGTCTCCAAAACTCTATAGCTACTTTAGCTAGTTTTCTGTTATTAATACACTGACCAACATAAGATGCAACTATTCTGTCAAACCATTAAGAAAAAGATAAACCAAACATTTACAACTGGTAGTTTTCCGAGGCCGAAATGTGAATCCTGAAGCCAAATGATAAATTTAATTATTCTTTACTTTTTGTAGCATTAAAATCTTAATTGTTATTCAGATATTCTACTAGGTCTACATACATAGTTAGCTAGCCAGCTAATGATCAAGTGAGTTGGTTTTTTTGTTGTTGTTTTATCTTGGAACTTCATGAGGAGGGCCATAATGTTGATTGAAAATCAGTTTTCAATAAGATAAACCATGGTCAACATAGCATATTGCCTTCTGTACTGGGAGGCAGTATGCAAAGTGTTAGGAGCATAGACACTGTTATCAGCCTTCCTGGATTTAAACTTAACAATATCCATATGACCTTGAACAAGGTACCAAGCCTCACTATGTATTTTTTGTGTTTGAGATGGAGTTTCACTCTGTCTCCCAGGCTGGAGTGCAGTGGTGTGATCTCAGCAGCTCACTGCAGCCATCCTCTCCCAGTTTAAAGTGATTCTCCTGTTTCAGCCTCACGAGTACCTGGGACTACAGGCATCTGCCACCATGCCCTGCTAATTTTTGTCCTTTTTTTTTTTTTTTTTTTTTTTTTTTAGTAGAGATGTGGTTTTGCTGTGTTGGCCAGGCTGGTCTTGAACTCCTGACCTCAGGTGATCCACCCATCTTGGCCTCCCAAAGTTCTGGGATTACAGGTGTGAGCCACTGTGCCCAGCCACCTCATTATGTTTTAACATTCTCTCATATTAGGTAAAGGTATTAATGATGCTTACTTCACAGACTTGTAAAGAGAAAATACCACATGCAATGTACCTAGAAAAGTGATCAGTACATAGTAGATACTCAATAAACTTTAGCTATCATTGTTAGCCATATATTTTTACATTGATTTTTATAAAGAATATAGATTCTGGGCTGGGTGCGGCGGCTCATGCCTGTAATCCCAGCACTTTGGGAGTCCAAGGTGGGAGGTTCACGAGGTCAGGAGATTGAGATCATCCCGGCCAACATAGTGGAACCTCATCTCTACCAAAAACACAAAAATTAGCTGGGCGTGGTGGCACGCACCTGTAGTCCCAGCTATTCGGGAGGCTGAAGCAGGAGAATCTCTTGAACCCAGGAGGCAGAGATTGCAGTGAGCCAAGATAGCACCACTGCACTCCAACCTGGTGACAGAGTAAGACTCTATCGTAAAAAAAAAAAAAAAAAAGGAATATAGATTATGATATTCCTAGAGTTCCTCCTGATGATAGCTAGACAGTTCTTAGTTTATCAGTCACACGAAGACAGTTTTTAACTAAAATTTTTATTTTGAGATACATTTAGATTCACATGAAGTTGGAAGAAATCATACAGAGAGATAATCCACATCCCTTACCTATTTCCCCCAGCAGTAACATCTTGTAAAATCATAGTACAATATCACAACCGTGGGGTTGGCTTTGATAACAGTTATGATGCAGTTCTGTCATTACAAAGACCCCTCATGTTGCCTTTTATAGTCACTCTGACCCACCCCAACTCCATCTCTCTGTTACCAATTCCTGTCACCCACTAATTGGGTGACATCCCCATTTCTATAATTTAACTCCTTCAGCACCAGTTGTTTAAAAGGCTGTCCTTTCTTCATTGAAGTGCTTATACAGTTTTGTCAAAATACAATTGTGCATATTTTGGTGGGTCTATTTCTGGGTTCTCTATTCTACTATATTGACCTGTGGATTTACCCCTCCTTCTTAACCACATTGCCTTAATAACTGTAGCTATATAATAGCTCTGAATACCAGGTAGAATTATTTCTCTCACTTCATTCTTCTTTTTCAAGTTGCTTTTAGCTATAGTGGGGCCTATGCCTTTCCATATGAATTTTATGATACCTATGTCTACAAGAAAACATACTGATATTTTGATGAGTCATATTATAACTGTAAATAATTTGAGGAGAATTGATATCCTTACTATGCAGAGTTTTCCTATTCACAAACACAATGCATTTCTTTTCTGATTTCTGTCAGCATTTAAAAATTTTCAGCATACAGATCCTATACGTGTTTAGTTAGATTTTAATCCAAGTATTTAATTTTTTATGTGCTTGTAAATGGTATTGTGTTTTTAATTTCCGTTTCTACATGTTCAATCTTAGTATATAGAAATCCAATTAGTTTTTGTGTATTGATCTTTTAAGATCCTGGAACCTTGCTGTACTCATTATTGGAGTATTTTTGTATATCCCCGGGGTTTTTCTGTGTAAATAATCATGTCATCTGCAAGCAAGAACAGTTTTATTTTTTTTGAAATCTTTATTTCTTTTTCTTGTCTATTGTGTTGCCTAGAATTTTCAACACTGTGTAGAATAATAGTAGTGAGAGTGAATAGGTTTGCATTGTTCCCCATCTCAAAGGAAACACATTGTCTTTCAATATTAAGTATCCTATTAGCTTCTAGATATGTTGTAGATTTTTTAAACTCAAGTTTAGGAAGTTACCTATTCCCAGTATGCTGAGAATTTTTATGATAAATCGGTGTTGGATTTTGCCAAATGCTTTTTTTGGTGTTAACTGACATAATGAGAAGATTTTTCTTTTTTTTAGCCCATCGATACAATGAATTCCATTGATTGCTTCTTGAATGTGGGACAAGCCTTGCAGACTGTAATAATAAATACTTTTAAATTGTTTTAGGATAAGATGAGGTATTTCTAAATGTCTTTTGTGCAGCCATAGGATGAAGAACCAATAAAATAAATCTCGTTTAGTCATGGTGTATGTATAATCATTTTTATACATTGCTGAACTTGATTGGCTGATATTTTATTGGAATTTTGCTTTCTATGTTCGTACAAGATTTTGTTTTGTATCTTTCTTTCTTTGAACTTTTTCTAGTTTTGATGTCAAGGTAACAGGAACTGTTTCTTCCTCCTCTAGTTCTAAAAACAACTGATAAAAATTGGTTTTAATTCTTTGAATATTTGGTAAAATTTGTGAGTAATGCCATTTGGGCCTGGAGATTTCTTTTTGGGGAGCTTTTTAATTACACATTTATTTACTGGTTATGGTATCATTATAGAACAGGCTATGTATTTCATCTTGATTGAATTTTGATTATGTTTCATGGAATTGGTCAATTTATTCTGAGTTGTTGAATTTATGAGCATTAATTTGTGCATAGTGGCTGCAGAATCTGTAGTGTATATCCAGTTTATTCCTGCTATTAGTGATTTGTGTCTTTTGTCTTCTCTGTCAGTCTTGCTAGAGGTTTATCAATATCACTGATATTTTTAAAGAAAATTATTTGGTTTTGTTGTTTTTAAGTTGTTTTCCTATTCTCAATTTTATTTTTACTATTTTCTTCCTTCTGATTATGTTGGGTTTACTCGCTTTTCTTTATCTACTTTCTTGAGATAATCAGGACAGTCTTGAGAGTTACAAGTGTTTTTATGAATAAATGCCCTGGAAGAGCAGGTGTCCACTGGGATTATCAGGCAAATTGGAGAGGGTTATCACCCTCATGATGACCTTAAGCAGTGGGACTGTAGGAATTAGATCCATGGCCACTTCCTTATGTATCACAAGGATCCTGGATCAGGATATCTGGTCAGTCCTGGCCCTTTCATTTCTTGCATGAAGTTCCTCGTTACTAATCACAAAGAGCACGAATTGTTATCCTGTGAAGTTGCATAGTCCTGTCACTCTAACACACTCAAGTTTGGTCTGCATTGTTGTTTTGGTAGCAGGAGATATGGGCTAACTCTTATATTAAGGTTTCAGGTATAGATGAAAAGTCAGAAATGGTAGCTAATATTTGTTGTACCTCTGTTGTTGAATATGTTTAAATGTATAATTTATGCCTAATAACAATATTATGAGACAAGTATCAAGTCTACATTTTGTAAACAAGGAAATTAAAGCTTGGAGAGCCTAAGTCCCTTGTATGACCTATAGCAAATGGTAGAGATAGGATGTGAGGTGAGAGTTAGATGCCTAACTCTATCCTACTAAAAAGCTTTCCAGTGCAAGCTGTTTGCATCAACACCTGCTAGCTGTCATTATATACAGAGGAGGGTGCTCTGATAATGTAATCAGAACTGTAGTTTCTAGAAAGGCCCTGGTGTATATTTAATCATGATGAGATATGGTGATGTTGGATTCACATATGTAGTTGTTTTGGTGAAGGAAAATAATAAATACATTTACATTGTTTTAGGAAAAAAATAGATTTGTTAAATGTCTTTTGTGCAGCCATAAGAACCAATAAAGTAATATTTAAGCTATATTACCTCAGGACAGGGAGTTGACTGTGTCCTAAACAATCCATTTTATATTTGTGAAATATTACCAACATGTATATACTCTTTAAACCATAAATTACACACACACACACAGTCATAGGCAATAGGCATAATCAATGACATATCTAGACAAAATTTGGAGATTGAGATCTGAGTAAGATAAGCAGTAGAGCCCAGTAGAAAATGAAGTGAAGGATTTGTATATGTAATTATATTCAGGGTCTACCAAAATGTATACAGCTTCATTTTATCTGCCTTAAAAGGAAACAAGTTTTACATTTTCCTTTCTTTCATTCATGCTAAGATGTACAAAAACAAACAAACAAAACACACATTTATTTACTTATTTACATTTAAACATTTATTCCACAGCTTTTACCAGGAAGTGCAATCAACTGATTAATCTGTATTAAGTGCACAGGACTTACAATTCACTCATAAAAAGACAACCTAATTTTCAAATGGGCAAAGGACTTTAATAGACATTTCTCCGAAGAAGATATACAGATGGTCAATAAGCACATGAAAAGGTGCCTAGCATCACTAATTGCTATGGTTTAGCTGTCTCCCCAACAAATCTCATCTTGAGTTGTATCTCCCATAATTCCCATGTGTTGTGGGAGAGACCCAGAGGGAGATCATTTGAATCATGGGGGCGGTTTCCCCCATACTGTTCTCGTGGTAGTGAATAAGTCTCATGAGATCTGACGGTTTTATTAGGGGGTTTCTGCTTTTGCATCTCTCTCATTTTCTGTTGCTGCTGCCATGTAAGAAGTGACTTTTGCCTCCCACCATGATTCTGAGGCCTCCCCAGCCATGTGAAACTGTAAGTCAAATTAAACCTCTTTTTCTTCCCAGTCTTGGGTGTGTCTTTATCAGCAGCATGAAAACGGACTAATACAGTAAATTGGTACCAGTAGAGTGGGGCACTGCTGAAAAGATACCTGAAAATGTGGAAGCGACTTTGGAACTGGGTAACAGGCAGAGGTTGGAACAGTTTGAAGGGCTCAGAAAAAGATGGGAAAATGGTGGACAGTTTGTAACTTCCTAGAGACTTGTTGAATGGCTTTGCCGAAAATGCTGATAGCGATATGGACAATAAGATCCAGGCTGAGGTGGTCTCAGACAGAGATGAGGAACTTGTTGGGAACTGGAGCAAATGTGACTCTTGTTATGTTTTAGCAAAGAGACTGGTGGTATTTTGCCCTTGCCCTAGAGATTTATGGAACTTTGAACTTGAGAGAGATTATTCAGGGTATCTGGTAGAAGAAATTTCTAGGTAGCAAAGTATTCAAGAGGTGTCTTGTTGTACTGGTAAAGGCATTCAGTTTTATAAGGGAAGCAGAGCATAAAAGTTTGGAAAATTTGCAGCCTGACTATGCGATAGAAAAGAAAAACCCATTCTCTGAGGAAAAATTCAAGCCAACTACAGAAATTTGCGTAAGTAGCAAGGAGCCTAATGTTAATCCCCAAGACCATGGGGAAAATGTCTCTAGGCCATGTCAGAGACCTTCATGGCAGGGCAGCCCCTCCTATCATAGGCCCAGAGGCCCAGGAGGAAAAAGTTGTTTTGTGGGCTGGGCCAAGGTTCCCTGTGCTATGTGTAGCATAGGTCCTTGGTGCCCTGCATCCCAGCCACTCCAGCCGTGGCTGGAAGGGTTGAAGGTACAGCTTGGCCTGTGGCTTCAGAGGGTGGAAGCCTCAAGCCTTGGCAGCTTCCACATGGTGTTGAGCCTGCAGGTGCACAGAAGTCAAGAATTTAGGTTTGGGAACCTCCACCTAGATTTCAGATGTATGGAAACACCTGGATGCCCAGGCAGAAGTTTGCTGCAGCGGTGGGGCCCTCGTGCAGAGCCTTTGCTAGGGCAGTGCATAAGGGAAATGTGGGGTCGGAGCCCCCACACAGAGTCCCTACTGAGGTACTGCCTAGTGGAGCTGTGAGAAGAGGGCCACTGTCTCCAGACCCCAGAATGGTAGATCCACCAACAGCTTGCACCAAGCGCCTGGAAAAGCTGCAGACACAATGCCAACCCATGAAAGCAGCCAGGAGGGAGGCTGTACTCTGCAAAGTCACAGGAGCAGCGCTGCCCAAGACCATGAGAACCCACCTCTTGTATCAGTGTAACCCGGATGCAAGACCTGGAGTCAAAGGAGATCATTTTGGGGCTTTCATAAAAATTTGACTTCCCAGCTGGATTTCAGACTTGCATGGGCCCTGTAACCTCTTTGATTTGGGCCAATTTCTTTCATTTATAATGGCTGTATTTACCCAATACCTGTACCCCCATTGTATCTAGGAAGTAACTAGCTTGCTTTTGACTTTGCAGGCTCATAGGTAGAAGGGACTTGCCTTGTTAATTTGGGTTATTGGGTTCATGCTGAAATAAGTTAAGACTTTGAGGGATTACTGGGAAGGCATGATTTGTTTTGAAGTGTGAGGACATGAGATTTGGAGGGGCCAGGGCAGAACGATGTTGCTTGGCTCTCTCCCCACCAAATCTCAACTTGAATTGCATTTCCCAGAGTTCCCATGAGTTGTGAGAGGGACCCAGGGGGAGGTAATTGAATCATGAGGGCTGATCTTTCCCATGTCATTCTTGTTACAGTGAATAAGTCTCACAAGACCTGATGGGTTTATCAGGGGTTTCCACTTTTGCTTCTTCCTTATTTTCTCTTGCTGCCACTATGTAAGAAGTGCCTTTTGCCTCCCGCCATGATTCTGGGGCTTCCCCAGCCATATGGAACTGTAAGTCCAATTAAACCCCTTTCTCTTCTCAGTCTCGGTTATGTCTTGATCAGCAGCATGAAAATGGACTAACACACCAATCATAAGTTAAATGCAAATCAGAACCACAACGATATACCATTTCATACCCATCAGATGACTATCATCAACAAAACCCCAGGAAATAACAAATGTTGACAAGAGTGTAAAGAGATTGAGACCATTGTGCATTGCTAGTAAAAATGGAAAATGATGTAGCCACTGTGGAAAATGTGGCAATTCCCCCAACAAATCTAACATAAAATTACCATATGATCACAAATTTCACTGCTGTGTATACACCCAGAAGAATCAAAAGCTAGGTCTTGAACAGATGCTTGTACACTCCTATTCTTAGCAGCATTATACACAAGAGTCAAAAGGTGGAATCAACCCAAGTGTCCATCAACAGATGAATAGAAAACAAAATGGTGTGTACACACAAGGGAATATTATGTGGCCTTAAAAAGAGATGAAATTCTGACACACTCCATGGCATGGATGAACCTTGAAGGCATTATGCAAAGTGGAATCAGCCAGCTTCAAAAAGACAAATACTGTATAATTCCATTTATGTGAGGTACCTACAGGGGTCAAATTTATAGTAACAGAAAATAGAATGATGGTGGTCAGGGGCTTGAAAGAGGGGAGAATGGAGAGAGATTGTTTAATGGGTATAGAGTTTCTGTTTGGGAAGATGAAAAAGTTCTAGAGAAGAGTGATGGTGATGGCTGCACAACAGTGTGAATGTACTTGATGCCACTGAACTGCACACCTAAAAATGACTAAAATCGTAAATTTTGTTGAATATACTTTACCACAGTTTTAAAAACTTAACATCTTTGCCTGTCTAGCACCCTCCCCTGATTCAACAGCATAAATCAACTTAGCAAACTAAAACCCAGTAAACTGATGTTTCATTTACTTCCTGCAAATGGTCTAAAAATTCTCTTTAGCATTTTATTTTAAAAATCAAGTTAGTTTGTTGGCTTGCTTCTCTACATTCAAAATTGCATGGGTTATTATTGAAAGAGATAGCATGTCATGTAGATATTAAAAGTAGTTCACGTGTTGGGCACTTCTGTGCTTGACACTCTACTGTTTTACACATGTTAGCTCATTTGTTGCTTACCACAATTCTATGTGATAGCTATCATTTTTGTCATGCACCAATAAGCAACCTGAGGCGTGAGGTGTTTTAATACATTTCCTGAAGACAGTAAACCAGTGTATGGTGCATCTAAGATTTAAACCCAGGTGGTGTAACTCTAGAAACATGCCATTTATTCATTATCTGATTAGTTAGCTAGTAACCATGAACATTACTCTTGATCTTTCTGAGCTTTTGTTTTTTTTCGTGGGTAATTTTCTTACCTGTAACCACATGCCAGCAGTGTGATAAGCACTTTCATTCATTATCTCAAGCTTCTGTACCTCCAGAGCGTACAACAATACCTGGCACATTATGTATGTTCTATAACTTTAAATAAATGAATAATGCAAAAAGAATATGTGCTTAATAAGGAAGGAATGGAATTTATTTCCAATTCTGTGGCCAGAAGGCATTTGTATCTCCTTTGTGTGTCTAGGACCCACTGGAACGCAATGCAGCCAAATTAATATTCAGACAATCTGCAAACTAATAAATATTAAGTTTCCCTAAGTTTTCTATTGCCTGATGGTACTTCACTGATGTCAGTACTGAAATGGGCCAGCTCCACATCAGGATGTGGTTGGAAGGAAGCTGTGTACTGACCTAACAAAGAAATCTGATGAAAATATGTTTCCACTGCATGATTCAAGGTGATAGTACATAAAACTGTATATACAAGCATACCTCTAAATGTAATCTGAATATTAAATTTTAAATTAGTGCTGTACTTTTACCTCTAAAATGAAACTCAGAAAGGATGGCATAATTCCAAGAAAAAAAAGTTTGGAAACTTCCTTCCCATGCATTGTTTAACAACAACAACAGAGGGAGGTGCTGTTTTAAAATAATTCGTGGGTCAAATAGAAACTTGGTGGATGTTGGTCACTGTTTTGGTGTAGTCTGTGGAATGGGTCAAAGGGGGATAGTTTTCACACTGAAGGAAAAAAATGAGTATTCTATTCTTGATGGTAAGCCTAATGAAAAGTAAACGGAGAAATAAGGCAATTTTGTCTCACTTCACACCAGAAGTGTGAAAGGACACATAGACAATCAGACCAAAAATAAATGTTTTGTTTTAAGTAACCAGATACTTGAGGCAAAAGCAATACTTTGTACCTTCCTGTGTGTAAAATTATCTATCTCATTCACGTAAAATTGGTTTTGTTACCATTATCGAGATACTTACAAAGCAATGGTTTTTATTTTCAGGAGAATAGTGAGTTCATTTCTATTTATTTGTTGTTTAGTTGGTTGGTTGACTGTTATGAGGGAGCAGGTGGGAAGGCTGGCTAGATAATTGTCCCAATCAATTACTTTTCTCCAGTGTGTAGGGTTGCTCTAAATAAGGATAGTAGAGTGATCAGGCAACTTAGCAGGGTTGCCTGCTTCCCAGGTAATAAACTTCAAATCTGACAAATAGCCATGGGCATTTCATTCTTAATGCCACCAAAATGAATGGTGTCTCTCTAGTTTATTGGATGTTCTACATTAAAAAATGAGACAGAATGTGAGCATAACTTTAAATTATTAAAATGGAGAAGATTTATGTTCATACCTCGTGTAAACTAGTTTACAGGATGCATTCTAAAACGTGAAAAACAGAATGTAGCAAAGTAATCATGCTAGTGGTCAAGGGAGATTTTGTTTAAGTTGTGTTTTTGTAATTTGTATAAAAATTTAATCTATATGTTGTGTTGACTAAAACTAGAAATAATTAAAAATCATACATACTATGTGATTATACATTTAGACATTTACACTTGTGTGTGTATTTGGGGAAAAAGACTACAGGTAAATACATTCATATTAGTAGTATTTCTGGATTGTGGAATTATGGTTTTTTTTCTTTGTACACTTCACATTTACAAAACACTGGATAAGCAGGAAGAATTACTTTTATAATCAACTGTGATGGTAAGTTTGTTTGAGGTGCAGGCTCATTTTTCCCATCTAACAAAGGAGTGGGCCTTGTTGTTTTTGTTTTAACTTGCATCAATCTGTTTATTTCATTTATATGAAAAGCACAAGTCATGTCCACGGTTCATAAAAAGCAAATAAAGTAATTGCCCTTTACTCACCTTGCTCTCAATTCAACAAACTAAAAAGAAAGGATATTTATTGTGAAAGGCATGATTATCTACTCTACAAATGTATATTGAGAATATAGCATGTGCAAGGAATTATTCTAGGTGAAACAGGGAATACAGCATTGAAAAAACCAAAACAACTTCCTTTAAAAAGCTTACATTCTCATGGGAGGAGAAGGCATTAGAGCACCAACTGCATATTACGCTAGAAGATAATACATGCCATGGAGATTACAAAAAATAAAACTGAGTACAGGAAATGATTTTAGAAAAGGAGTGGAATTTTAAAATGGCTAGTTGCTAGTCAGGGTAAGCTTTATTGAGATGATATTTGTTTTTTCTTTTTTGATAACATTTTTATAGCTTTATGTTTAATGAATATCAAACATACTGTCAATGTTTAAAGTCTAAATGAGACGAATTTAGCATATACATGTGCCCATTAAACAATCACCGTGAAGGAGAGAGTGAACATGTCCAACACGCCCAAAGCTTTCCAGTTCCTCTTTGTAGTGAACACTCATACCTCTCAGGTGTGAAGTACTGAGCCACACGCATACACACAAACACACACTGGGCTACCTCATTGTTTCAGGAGCATTTGCTCAAAGTGTTATCTTTATGTCCATGAATTGTCTCAGAACTTTATTAAGACTTAGCTGATATACATGTATATAACTATATTAGTACTACATTGTCTTAATAACTATAACTTTGTAAGTCTTGAGACCAGGTGCTGTTCTCTAAATTTGTTGCCTTTCAAAGTAACTTGCCGTTGTAGGTCCTCTGCACATCTATGTAAATTTCAGAATTTTAGTTTGTCAATTTCTAAAAGAAATCCAGCTATGATTTGATTGGGACTGTTATAGATCAATGTGGGAAGAGTAGACATCTTAACAATATTGAGATTTATGACTTGTGAATTCCATTTATTTATTTGTAATTTATTTCAGCAGTATTTTGTAGTTTTCAGATGTTTCGCTTTTTTCACGTTTATGCCTAAGTACTTCACATTTTGATATTTACAATAATATCAAAATTATTGTAATATTATAAATGTTGTTTTAATGTTTTTCTCCATTAATTATCAGGTACCTTTAAATCATAATTTAATTGGATGATACAACTGGATTTTGAAAAAAGTATACGTATATGTATATTAAAAATAACGTATTTTTTTTTTCATTTGGCAGACTGACTCTGCTATCATATCATGTAATAGTCCAAATTTACACTGTTAATAAAGACATACTCGAGATTAAGAGGAAAAAGAGGTTTAATTAGACTTACAGTTCCACATGGCTGGGGAAGCCTCAGAATCATGGCAGGAGGCAAAAGGCATTTCTTACATGGCAGTGGCAAGAGAAAATGAGGAAGAAGCAAAAGCAAAAACCCCTGATAAACCCATCAGATCTCGTGAGACTTATTCACTATAACAAGAATAACAAGGGAAAGACCAGCCCTCATGATTCAATTACCTCCCTCTGGATCCCTCCCACTACACGTGGGAATTCTGGGAGATACAATTCAAGTTGAGATTTGGGTGGAGACACAGCCAAACCGTATCATATCATAATGTAAAATTGCACTCAATACCACTCAGCCTGCTCTCAAGGACAATCATATCAAAATATATGGCATGTTTCAGTTTATTTAGCCTCACTAAACTCTAAAGTTGCACTTACTTTTGGAAACCTGTAATAATAATATAAATGCCAGCTCACAGGCAGATATAGGACTACATATGACAATTTTCTAAATGCCAATCTAACCATTTTTTAATTCTATGTTTATGTTCTCAACGTTTTTCCTCCTCTTGAAACTCACTCTTTTTTAAATTTATTTTTTATTTCAATAGATTTTTGGGGAACAGGTGGTGTTTGGTTACATAAATAAATTCTTTAGTGGTGATTTGTGACATTTTGGTGCACCTATAACCCAAGCAGTGTACATTCTATCCAATGTGTAATCTTTTATCCCTCACTCTGCTCCCATGCTTTCCCCCAAGTCCCCAAAGTCCTTTGTATTATTCTTATGCCTTTGTATCCTCATAGCTTAGCTCCCGCTTACGAGTAAGAATATATGATATTTGGTTTTCCATTCCTGAGTTATTTCACTTAGAATAATAGTCTCCAATTCCATCCAGGTTGCTGTGAATGGCATTATTTCATTCCTTTTTATGGCCAAGTAGTATTCCATGGAGTATATGTATATATACCAGATTTTCTTTATCCCCTCATTGACGGTTGGGTATTTGAGCTGGTTCCATACTTTTGCAATTGCAAACTGTGCTCCTGTAAACATGCGTGTGCAAGTGTCTTGTTCATATAATGACTTCTTTTCCTTTAAGTAGGTAACTAGTAGTGGGATTGCTGGATCAAATGTAGCCAACTGATCTTCAACAGAGCAAACAGGAACAAAGTGTGGAAAGGGCGCACCCTATTCAACAAATGGTGCTGGGATAATTAGCAAGCCACATGTAGAAGAATGAAACTGGATCCTCATCTCTCACCTTACACAAAAATCAACTCAAGATGGATCAAAGACTTAAAGACCTGAAACCATAAACATTCTAGAAGATAACATTGGAAAAACCCTTGTAGACATTGGTGTAGGCAAAGACTTCATAACCAAGAACAAAAAGACAAATGCAACAAAAGCAAAGATAAATAGATGGGACTTATTTAAACTAAAGAGCTTCTGAACAGCAAAATAAACCATCAGCAGAGTTAACAGACAACCCACAGAGTGGGGGAAAATCTTCACAATCTATACATCCAACAAAGGACTAATATCCAGAATTTACAGAGAACTCAAATCAGCAAGAACAAAGCGAACAATCCCATCAAAAAGTGGGCTAAGGACATGAATAGACAATTCTCAGAAGAAGAAATGGCCAACAAGCATGGAAAAATGCTCAACATCACTAATTATCAGGGAAATGCAAATCAAAACCACGGTGCAATACAACCTTACTCCTGCAAGAATGGCCATAATCAAAAAATAAGAAAATAATAGATGTTGGCATGGATGTGGTGAAAAGGGAACACTTTTACATGGTTGGTGGAAATGTAAACTAGTACAAGCACTATGGAAAACAGTGTGGAGATTCCTTAAAGAGATGATGTTTGAATAGCAACCTGGCAGAAGAGTGTTCCAAGCGTATGGAACAGCTTTTGTGACGACCCTGAGGCAGGAATATGCCTATCATGAGCAAGCAAAAACAAGGAGGCTAGTGTTCCTAAAACAGAATGAGCGAGGAGGACAAATAATAGGTGATGAGGTCAGAGGTAATCAGGGACCAGATACCATGGCCTTGAAGGTTATGGTAAAAACTTTAACTTTTATTTTGGTAGGAGGAGTGAGGTAATCTAGCTTAACATTTTAAAGTATCATACAGTTGCTGTGTGAATAGATTGTAGCAGGACAAATATACCAGCAGGAAGACTAGGTAAGAATCTAATGCAATAACCCAGGTAAGAGTTGAGGATGCCTTGGTCAGAGTCGCTAGCAGTAGAAGCAGTGAGAAGTGGTAACATTCTGTATATATTTTAAAGATAGAGCCAAAAGCATTTTTTGTCTGTGGAGATGGAGAGACCTTAAAAATGACTCCAAAGATTTTAACCTCAGCACCTGGATGGATAGAGTTGTCATTCCTTGAGATAGAGGAGAGCATGTGTGTAAAACGTTTTTTTAAAGCACAGAAAATTCTGGTACAGCAGTTTGACATGAGTTTTTAGTATTCCGTTGGAAATAATGAGTCAGCATTGGCTACACAAGTCTGGATTTCAGAAGAAAAAGGCTTTTGGGCTAGAAATGCAATTTTGGGAATTGTTGGCATATATAGCATTCTAAAATTTTGTGGACAGATGTCAGGACTTAGGCGTAAGGCATACCAGCTTTTAGAGTTCAGTTCGATGCAGTAAAATCAGCAAAGGGAACTGAGAAAGAGGACTAACCAGAGGGTAGGAGGCGTATTTAAAACTAGAAATGAAAATCTCTGAAGGAAGAGAGAATGATGAAATGTGCCAAATGGGGTCTGTTTGATATAAAATAAGAGGGAGATGAATTAGAGAGAGTAAATACAGACAACTCCTTCAAAGAATTATAAATAGGTAAGAAATGTGCCAGTAAGTAGAACAGAAAATGTAAGAAAAGGGAGAAGGCTCTTGTTTGCTTATTTTGAGAAGAAATAATAACATATTTGTTTACTCTTGGGAATGATCTAATAGTGAAAACAAATAGTAAAGGGGAAAGAGAATGTGGGGCAAAGTCATTGAATGAGTGTCCTAGTGCTTAACTGAGGGGAGTCCAAGTAGAGTGGCACAGATTCATGTAGATTCTTATAGATAGTGTTGGGATGGGTGGCAGTTCTGTTCTGTTTCCATTTTCTCAGTGCAGAAGGAGACTAAATTTCAGACTGTACATACATGTATACATGTAACACATTGAGCATGTTTAAATGTGTTCTGGATACTGTCCTAGGCCTTGGGGTGATTATGTCATCAGATGTTCTTGCCCTCAGAAAATCTGCACTCTAATGAAGATGTATAATTAAATGAAAAAAAATTGTAAATGTTATGAGAAATGTCAGATTTCTATGGAAGTACACAAAAAGGGCATTTAATTCACTTGGCCACGGGTGGCACCAGAGAAATCTTTCCTCACAAAGTAATCTCTAAGTTGAAATGTGACTATTCAACAGTCACTATTCAATGGTAGTAGAGGGGCTGTGAAGGGCACTTCAGATAGAAGGAATAGTGACTGGAAAGGCTGAAATATGAGAGCTAATATGGCAGTTAAAGGAAATGGCAATGATGGTAAAAGTAAAAAGGTTGATGGAAAGAGTAACTGAGGTTGAAAGACTGGCAGGGACAAGATTATGTATCCATGTAAAAGAGTCCGAAATTTCTCCTTTGAACATTTGGAAGGGACTTAAACAGTGAGAAGTTATGGACAGATTTGCGTTTACACTCTAGAAAGAGCCTTGGCTCAGGTGTGACAAGGGGAATGGAGTGAATTGAGGGGGAGTCAAGGAGAGCACGTTAGAGACTATTTCAGTAGTCAAGGTGAGAAGCGGTGTGTTGGAAGACTAGCAGTCATGGTGTTGCAGGAAAGTGGGTCCACTCCAGAATATTCAGGAAGAAGAATCAAGTGGGTTTGAGTAGTGATTAAATGTGGATGGTTGAATAAAGAAAATCAAGCATCACTGACAGAATATGGCTTGGTGGTAACTTTAAATGAAGTAAGATAACGGAGGGTTTGGGGAAAAAGTGCTGGATTAAACTTTTGACAATACTGTGTAATGCCCAAGTGGAGTTTTGAAAAAGACAGAAATGAATCTAAAACTCAAGGGAAGTTGTTGATTGATTGAAATTATAAATTTAGAAGTCATTGGCATAGCTATAATTCAGTTTCTAACCAACTACAAAGAAAAAAATAAAAACTTCAAAACAAAGAACAAATAGTCCAACAAATTGACATTCAGGTCACTGTTAACTTTTCTTATCACTAAGCCTGAAGGCCATTGTCCTTTTATTCAGGTTTTCCTTTGTTCTTTAGAGGGTGAATTAGCATATTCCTTTAATGTTTCCATATAGAATTCTCATGCATTTTGAAGTGAAAGGGTTATAAATGTCAGATAATTTTCCTTGGCATTTTTATTTTCTTCAAGTAAAGAACATTTCACTATAAAGCATTTATAATGAAACTGATTTTGTTGGTCATATTCTCCAGCTACTAATTTTCCGTAAAAGCTTGCTTGGGGGGAGAAAAGGAAAAACACTTTTTATTAGGATTTGAGCTAAACTAAGTTAGCTTGTTCATGGCAAAGGAGTCATTTATTGTTGATATGGCCTCTGCTGCTGATGGTCTTTCTCCATAAATCTAGCATGTCCTGTGAAAGGTTAATGCTGCAGTTTAGCAGCCAATTGCATCCAAAGTGTAGTGAAAATTAGCATGCAGTTTTTTTTTACTTAGTTATGTATATGCATATCGAGTCTTTTTAAAATTCAGACTCCAGATAATCCAACATTAAATACATAAAAATAATTGTGTCATGCATTATGCTGGTTTTATATTCCTAAACTCATTTGAGCTTCTCAATCATGCTTTTCAATTGGTATTGTTATCTTTAATAATGTAGATGAAGAAAATGGGTGCCTGAAAGGTAGGTCTTTCTCCAGAAGTGACAAATAAGTCATAATTCCCAAGTCCATAAAGTCAAAAAAATGCAAAACATTTTGGATAAATAATACTCTAGGAAGGCTTGAACATTCGTCATTGTGCAAGCAGAGGGTCATTGAGAACTGGCTCCGAGAATCCCAAGAATTTGTCTTGCTGTCCTTTTGTTTATTGTCATTGTGTGCATTTCCCTGATGCTTTGGAAATAATTTGGAGTCTTTACAATGAAAGATGAGATCTTTATTGTGACAGGACAGCAATCTAATTTATCTCTGACACAGTTTCCCCTTTACCCAGCATAAATCAAGTGCCAGCTTAATGATGTCATTCCCTGTAACGTAGAATATCAAACAAGGAAGAAGTCATTTGGGGTCTGCACTGGGGAGAACAATGAGCAATGTCGTTTAGTTTCTTGTGAGCACCACTGCAAAGGTTTCTAAATTGATCCCTAGGGTTTCCAAAAGGTAGAGATTGAGTGTTGCCCAGAACTAGTGTAACTAGCCTCACAGGATCATTCTAAAGATAAAATGAGATAATTTGAGTAATGAGATCTAGCATAGTGACATGAACTTAATATATTCTTATTTTTTTCTTTCTATTTTTTTCTGTTTCCAGGTTGGTTACTTCAGGCTAGAAAAATACTTTTGAACTTTGAAAGAAAATTGTGTGTGTGTGTGTGTGTGTGCGTGCACGCGCGCAGCTTTGGCTCTCTAAACTAAAAGGAAAAGTATAAAATGTTCTCGTTTCAGTTTTCTATACCCTAACATCTAATTTCATCTAGGCCTGGAAAAAACAAAACAAACTTTCAAATCTGCTGACATTAAAAGATTAAAGTATCTGTGCTAAAAATACATAAACAAAAACAGCAACAACCACAGTATTCTAATGAAATGCAATAAGTGTAAAATAAACTCACATAAAGTAAAAAAAGACAAAACAATAGAAAGGAATAAGCTAACAGACGTTTTAAGCAATGTTACCTGATGAGAGCTTTGAAGGAATTTTGGAATTTTCAGAAGTATGAAAAAATGTAAGTTTAGGAAAGAGAGAAAATTATGGGCAGATATAGAAGGCATAAGCCATGTAGCAAGTTTGGAAAACTTCACAGAATTTGACACTGGTGAAATAAAAAGGCCAAAATTCTACATCGAGGCTGGGTTCTGACTGTGGTCTTCCTTCTATGCAAAAGATCTGGACTCTTTTCTCAAAACAAGGAGAGCCTTTGGAGAGCTGTAATCATAGGAATGCCAGGATCTGGCCTAGCCTTAAAGAGTAATTTTGGGGTCAGGGTAGAGTTGCTCAAATTCAAAGCCAAGTTTCGTTCTTGACTCCTTTCCACCTCTTGCAACCTCCCACAGCAAATGAACAAAACAATCCGTTCATTTTACTCATTAAATATATTTTGAACCTGCCTCTTCTTCTCTATCCCTTCTGACATAATCCTGATCTGAGCCACCATCACATGTCGCTTGGATGTTTTAACTTGGCTCCAACAATATTAATTCTGCCTAGGTGCTATTCCTGCTGATTGGCACACCGCTTCCCAACATCACCTAAAGACATCAACCTTGCCTTCCCTTCAGCTTCAGACTGCATTTTCCCTACCCCTCATCATGCCTGCAGTTACCTATCCAATGCTTATCTTCCTGGCTCAACTGAAAATATGCAGGGGCCATGTCTTATTTGCTGGCAAAACCCATGTTTCTAGCATAGCACCTGTCGTGTTGTAGATATTTAATGAGCTTTTATCAAACAAACTTGCTGAATAAACGAATAAAGTGACTTGCTGTTACTGTGCTGTTATTACTACAAAGTCACAGAAAACATCATCTCTTGTCCTCAGAGAACTCACAATCTAGCAGGTGAGAAAATAATTAGCAAAACATAAATCAATGTTTTATCCTCCTTCGTAAGGACAAGCAGGGGCCATGATAACACAGAGGAAAGAGCAAATAAAGAAAAGTCTTTGTGGCAGAGGTGAAATTTGAATTAGTTCTGAGAGGAAGCATTGAGGACATTGTAGTCAGGCTGTCAGAACCTCAGGAAAAGGAAGGAGCAGTCAAGGTTGTGTGAAATATAAAGTAAATCATGAATCACCCAATAATTACATATTTGAGTATTCGATAGTGACATCAAAAAGCACTGAGAACAGTAATAGGTTTTATTTCCCTGAAGTAGAAGTGTGAGTTCTCCGTACTGTGAAGGTGGTGTGCAGAGTGGTTACTTTGGTAGTTAGTGAGCCCAATTGTCTGCCAAACATCCTTATTGATTAATGGTATTGTGGTTTTAAAATGTATTGCCATACACATTCATAGTTCAATTTACTATATCTGATATGTTGCATATGGTATGTAGGTACCTTTGAGATTCATGAACATCTTACAGCATAACTGTTAATTTGAGGAAGCCTAATCTAAATGTTAAAATATATATCATGTATACATAGTAAATGTATACATGGTCATATATGTATAGTCACATGCATAGAGTATATAGTAATAAGAATCCTATTATTTATCTTATAGCACACTAAATATTTTTCACATATTATCTAATATTATTCTCACAATATTCCCCAAGAGATTGATGTCAATATACCCATCATACAGATTATGAAACGAAAGGTTTGATAAGTAACATGTCCTTTATTTGAGGATTAGAACGAGGTATTCAATTCATGTTTCCAGCTCCATAGCACATTCCCTAAATTAATATGATCCACTGCCAAAATAGGTACAATTGATATTTGATGCCACACTAGAAATGAGGAAAAATATTAAGGTTTTTCAATGCAATAAATGAGAGAGGCAATATTCTTATGGCATACTTACGGCAGATAACAATAATCGTCCTTAAAATTTGAAGGCAACCTCCTGTGTGTGTGTTGAGTTTGTTGGTTTTACTTTCAGCAGGAAGCACAGCCTGCATGACTAAGCTTTCCCACTGCTGTGATATTAATTTCAGGTATCAGAGGTGTACTGGTGTGCACTGATGGCTGGGTGTAATGCTCCTGGAGGCACACCTATTCCTCATATTATGATCAGTCTTTTCTGTTGCCCTTCCATGTGTAAAATAGATTAAGCTTCCTTGGTATTGTCTTATAAAATATATTACAGAGAACTTAAAGTGAAATTGCTTTGTATTGCAGAATAAAGGAAAAAAGCCAGATGAGAGTAAGTGCAAATATGCATATTCTTTTCATGTTCGAGGGTTTATTCTTTTATTTAAAAAACACTAAAACATCTGTCCCACTCTAGGCCCTTTATATAAGTTGATTCATCCTTGCAGATCAGAAGGTCAGTGATAACAGCAAAAGTACAGGGATGTTTAAGACTTTCCCAGTAACTTTACAGCTCTCTTCTCTGTATCTCTTATTCTTTGCTTTTGTACATATCCATTTCCATTGGTCCACTGCTCCCATTTAGCTCATGAGACATCCTACCGGATGTGTGATCTGATTGGTCCCTAGGTTAATCGTACTGAAAGTTTTAGAGAAAGGCTTCATCACAGAACGCTTCTAGACTTAGTATGACTGCCTATCCTGATATTCTTCCCATCAGTGTGGGCAGATTGAACATATTTATAATGCTTGGTGCTACGGATTGTGGGAATAAAAGAAGACACCTATGTGAGAAGAGGCAGAGCTTGTTTTGTCACTTATTTTATCAGAGCTTCCTAAGGCAAGGGAATCAGCCATCATCACTGTGTTAGCCAGAAACTCAAAGGTAGGCAGGGGAGTGGAAAACATCATAGTGAACAGAAGAGAAGGGTTCAGGTATGCTTTGATTGGAGGTGGTTGGCATGAAGAAGCTGCAGTTGCACTAACTAGAAGCAGGGCATCCCCTGTAACTGGTTTGGGGAACATACTGGCTTTTTCTGGTTGGTCCTGAGGTAGAAGCAAAAATAAGGGAAGCTATAGTCATTGAACAAATCCTATCTGTTCTGGGTCAATTGCTGAAGAGCTTTTGGTTTTGTTTCCTGGGGCTGATTGTTGCTGAGATTAGAGATCAGAGTACAGGGGTGATAATGGTTGGAAAGGGGAACTTTTATGGGGAAAAATCAAGGGAGGATTCAGCAATCCCCGTTTTTGAAGGATTAGTAGAAGTTTGCCAAATATTCAAACAAGGAAAGTGTGTCACAGAGAGAATAGCAGGCACGGAAGTGTAAAACAACAAGGCGTGTGAAAGGGGCCTTACTATATTGTGGAGTTTTGAGAATATGACTAGAGCCAAGTCCCACAGAGCCTTATACACAAGGCAAAGGAGTTCAATTAACCCTAAAACGAATAAGGATCTAAAAGGAATTCACAGCCCGAGAGTAGTGCTGTCAAGCTTGCTAAGTGACAAAATATGCTGGACAGGCTGGACAGGGGGTAGCTGTTTTTGAAAAAGGCCTTGGGATATCTAGGACTCAATGACTAGAGAAACAGTCAAGCCAAGGTCAGTAACAAGATGCTGGGATGAACAAGTCAGGTAAAGAGAGGATTATAGGAGTATTGGAAACAAGATTTAAATTCAGGATATAGACAAATCACCTGAGGTAGCACCACACAGAAACAAGAATGGGAAAGGCAGGTTAGGCTGGTTCAGCTCCAGAAGTCAGCATCTTGCGGTCATGAGGCTATTTTAAAAGGACTCAATATGAACCATTCTGCTCATACTGATAAACATCTTTAAAGTGCTGCTCAGCACCTGACATGAAAGGCTGAACTGGATGCACATTTTGAGTATGTAAAACTCTTTGCAAAGATAATTGTAATTGTCCCATTTCTATTATTAGTGTTTATAATTACAACACAAGACATCAGTGTCCAGGGATAAATACATGATAAACAATATTAAAATGTTTAATCCAGTAGTTTTAGTTGAGAATTTCTTTTAGCTAATGACCCCAGGTGTCATGCTTTAGAACAGGGGTTTGCAAACTATGGCCCCAAGCAAAATCAGGCATGCACCATTTTTGAGAAGGTCTGTTGGAACACAGCCATATCTACTTATTTATGTATTGTTTGTAGCTACTTTCACACTACAACAGCAGGGCTGAATCATTTCAACAGAAATTGTCTGTAAAGCCTAAAATATTTGCTATCTGGGTTTTTTTTTTTTTTCCCCTCGAGATGGAGTCTTGCTTTGTCACCCATGCTGGAGTTCAGTGGTGTGATCTTGGCTCACTGCAACCTCCACCTCCGAGGTTCAAGTAGTTATCCTGCCTCAGCCTCCAGAGTAGCTGGGATTATAGGCACCTGCCACCACGCCCAGCTAATTTTTGTGTTTTTAGTAGAGAAGGGGTTTCGCCATGTTGGCCAGGCTGGTCTCAGACTCCTGATCTCGTGATCCACCTGGCTTGGCCTCCCAAAGTGCTGGGATTACAGGCGTGAGTCACTGCACCTGGCCTGCTATCTGGTTTTTTACATAAAAAGTTTCCCAGCCTTTGACTTAGAATCCAGAGCAAATGGAACAAAATGTATTCTAATTACTTGACATGAAAATAAACATAACACATGAATTCTATCTTATGTGCATAATCTTCATAGGTAATATCAGTCCCATGGTGTAGATGAGGAAGGTGAGGCTCAGAGAGGTTAAGTAATATTTTGAGCAGCATATAACAAATAAATATCCAAAGTATGATTTTGACTTATATCTAACTTGCTTCAAAGTCTTTCTACTTTGTCAGATTTTCCTAGTTGTAACTTGCTATTTAATTTAGTAAACATTGAATATTTACTTCCCCAGTACCTGGTAGGTCACTGAGGTAGGTTCTATAGAGGTAACTTGCCCTCAAGAAACTAAAATCTAGTGAAAGAACTAGAGAACCAGACAAACATGGCAAAGCATGAACAAAGGCAGGCCATATAGGGTAATCAAGGGTAGAAGTTAAGAGCCTGCCTGTCTTGAAGCCCTGGATCTACTACAGGTAAGCTGAGCAACAAATCTAGTTATGGAATCTTTCTGTCATGCAATTTTTCATTAGGAAAAGAGGATAGTTACTTGTCTTATGAAGATCGTGAGGAATAATGCATTATTTTATTCAATGCATACTACTGAGCATCTACTAGATACTGATATTGTCTGAGGCATTTGAAATACCTCCTTGGACAAACAAGCACTGCTTTGTAGAATTTATGATTGCCAGGGGAAGAGAAACAATAAACTGTAAGCATTGTTAATAAGTTAATTATATAAAATATTAGAAGAAAATGAGCACTATTGAAAAAAGATGAAAACTAAGTATAAGAGAGTATGGAGATCAGCAACATGGGGGAGTGGGGAAGGGGAACTGCAAATTAAATAAAGCCATCTGGGAGAGACTTCTTGAGAAGGAGAGTTAGGAGTGAAGACGCAGAGGAGGTGAGAGAGTTGGCCATGTGCATAGCTGGCTGAGAGTACTCCCAGCATGAGGTGGTTGAGGGGAGCAGCAAAAGTCTGGGCCATGCCTGAGGTAATACCTGTACTATCCAAGGAGAGGTAAGTGGGCCAGAGTGGTTAAGATGGAATAACCAAGAAAAAATAATTCAAAGAAGAAGGATCAGAGGGGGTCTGGTTCATGTATGGCTTTAGGGGTCTTGTGAGGACTTTAAATTTCAATCTATCTAAATATCCTTGCAAGGTTTTAAGCAGAAAAAGATATAACCCATTGAATATTTAGAATAGTGCTTTACTTAGCTTTTAGTCTTGAGCTAACCCAGTTTGGCTCATTTGTCTCCTTCCTAGAAGACTGAGATAGCTGAGATGATGGAAGAGGCAGTGCTTTGGTATCACGCCAGTTTGTGCTCTCCTTGGGGCAAGTGGGGTCCAATGGGCATGTGGGCTTCATTGATTCCTGATTTGTATGTAACTGGGTGAGGCATATACAGCTAGGAAATACATTATCTAAAACTTAAACCAGGAAGTCTGTCCAGATACCTTCTTCATTACTTTAGTAGAGTGCTTACCAAGCCTGCTAAACCTAGGGGTTGCAACTCCTTAAACAGTGGTAAGCAATTCAACAAGACCAGGATTTTCAAGCCTGTCTGCTTCAACTGAGATGATTTAGTATCTCATATTCTGGATTTCCATTACCAGTATATAATTCTTTATTCTTTATCAATTGTTTATAATAATAATTATTACTATCTATTATTTATATTTTACACTATAGAAGGTTTTACCCTACTAATAACTAATTTTTCTGAATGGTAGTATACATTAAAGTTGGCTTACATATCATTAATAATCTGTTCATATAAGAAAAAGAAGGAGTGCTGGTTTATTGACAAGGTTATCTTCAAATAAAGACCTATCACTTATCATGGTGTTAGGAATTTTATGGCTCATTTAGACAAACCTTCACTGAAGGTACTTAAACATTTGATTTTATTAAGGAGCTTTCTGGCCTGAAGCAGCGCCATTCTACTGTTTGTCAACTATGAGGGTTAGCTAAATCTTTAGAGAGAAATTTAGTATGTGGTCTTCAAAAGTCTCCAACTATTTTTATTTGAGAAGAAATAGAATAAGAAATAAAATTAAATTCATTTAATAATCATGCATAGAATGCTTATGATGTGTAAAACACTGTTCTATGCATTATAGGAGACAGGGACAAAGGAACAAAGTGTGTTTTCTCTAAGAGCTCATGATAGTAAGAAATAATATTGCCCTCAGTCCTTTACAAGTGTGCTCTTTAATCCTTACCCTGATCCCATGTGGTCAGTTCTAGAATTATTCTTATTTGACTGACATAGAAATTGAAACTCTGAAAGGTTAAGTGACCTATGCAAGGTCACTCAAAGTTAGTGCCTGGAATTCAAATGAGAGGAGTCTGACCACAGAGTCCAAGACCTTAACCACGGTGTTGCTTGGGAGAGAGAGAATCGATTGTGATGTCCTTGAAATAGGGAAAACTATGCCGTTACAATAAAGGCAGAAATAATGTACAATCACATAAGGGATGAAGATATTAATTCTAACCAAGGCAGAGGGAAGGGGGATCTTAATTATGTAGGTGGTATCTTGAATTATGAAAAGACATGAAAGCCAAGAGATTCTTGAGGTATTTCTAATGGAGATTACATTTTAGCAATACTTTTAATAAAGTTTTCATATGTTCAGATATTCCATGGAACGGTGAAAATTCACAGTTCTGTTCCTGGCAGTAGAAATTCATATTCTAATTCTAGGATTTCTATGGAACCATTAAAGAAAGCCTTGATATTTTTCTTATGTCATTTTTTAATAGTTACCATTAGTAACTGTCCAACTGCTTGAAGGCAGAAACTTGAATGTCATTCTTGACTCTGACTTTTCCCTGTCTTCTCCTTCAAATCTTTCACAAATGCCTATCAAATATATCTTCTGAAAGTCTCTGGGATCCTTCAAAGTTTTCCTTGCCCTCTGCCACTCTTCAGAGGTACCACTCCCTCAGCTAAATAAATACAGCAGACTTGTGGTTGACATTCCTGACTCTTCTCTGCTGTCCATTCAATATGATTATGTAAATTTCCTAATCAATTGCTTAAGATTTCTCATTGGCCTTTCATGATGTCCAAGTGCCTCAACATGATTTAGGCGGTACTGAAAGACTGGTGCCTGATGCCTTCTTTCTAGCATGGTGTGTCATCATTCCTCTTTACCCCCTCAACACTTCCCCAAACCTAGTCTGCACTCCATGATCAGTCCATATACAATTTTAATAGCCTCCCATTACCTGTGACTCTTATCACAGGTTCTTTCTTCTGCCTGAAACAAGCTTTCTTCTGAAAAATGCCCTAGCCATTAACTAACCAGGCTAACTCTTACACATCCATTAGGTCTCTGCTGAAGTGTCATATTCATTGGGAGTTGTGTTCTCTTTTAAATTCCTCATGACCCTAGGCTTTGAGAAGACAAACTGTATCCTTCTTCAGTTCGTAATCAAGCGTCAGAATTATCTGATGATTTATATGATGGCAAGCTCTGTGAGTCAAGTCTTTTCTTCCCTAGAGTATGATTTTACCCACCATGTATGGAGAAAACCTACCAGGCTACCATTTAGTATACATACTTGAAAACACCGATAGTTGATGTACACTAAGTTCTGCGAAACCTGCAAGCTTTGTGGTGCCTCCACTCCTGACAAAACAGGGGGTACGATAACCTGTAAGCATCACAGGAAAATACATAAATGGTCCCAAGAATGTATTTATAGCTTTCTGAAATAATTCACCTGGAAGCCCTTTTCTTTACCTCATTCTTGCTTAACCCAGCGTGTTGCTAACAAAGATAAATAATGCCATGACAGTTAGTAGTATAGGCAGGCTGACACATCTGAGAGAGAAAAAATGGCCATTGGTTGGTTCTGATAGTTTGTCAGAGGTTTTTCTTTCACTCATCAGACTAAGTATGGCAGCAATGCTGGGTGTGTGATTTATACAATTCTGTACTGTACCTTGAACAGATCTTTCTTTTGAAGGAAAATGATTAACAATTATGACAGATCGCTTCCACTCAAGCATCAGAATCATCTTATGATTTATACAAGAGGCCAAAGAGGAGTGTATGGTCTTTGCTTGCCAGACAAATAAAAAATAGGAAAAATTTTATGGGAAACATTATGTACTCTACAATGGTGGTAATGAACTCTGTTCAAGCTTTTGAGAGACGTGAAGGAATTCTTATTGATCTGTGACATGTGAAGGATAGGCTCACAGATGCTTGCTTCTGTTGGGCTCTATTGCAGGCAGAATGAAGGCATAGAATGAACATAGCCTTTGGGGTTAGAAAGACCTGGGCTAAAATATTGCCTCTGCTACTTTCTGATCGTGCCACATTTGGCAAGCTATTTTATCTCTATACGCCTCAATTTTCTCAATTACAAAAATCAATATTAGTAACTAGCATTCAAGGTTATCGTATAAAATAACAATGGAATTATAGAATATTTACAGTTGCACAGATGCTCATGAGCTAATGGTGTTACAAGAACACAGGAATTTCTGATTAAATTACTTTCACATTAGTCTGCATTATGTATTGAGAACCTTCCATGTGCCAGGCCTTTGTTGATAATGGGAAATCAAAGACAAGTAGAAAATGATCCTTGCATATGAGGAGCTTACAGTTGAATTTGGGGAAGAGAAAAAGCAACATAGTGCTGAAGGGCATGTATCTCTTCTGATAAACATGTTTCTTTCATAAAGACATCACAAAGAATCCTTGTAACAGAGGATTCTTATTCAGTGTACTTGTTAGAATTTTTCAGAGGAACAGAACTAGTAAAATAAAGAAATATATTTTTTATTATTAGAAAAATGGCTCTGCCCAGGCACGGTGGCTCACGCCTGTAATCCCAACACTTTGGGAGGCCGAGGCAGGCAGATCACGAGGTCTAGAGATGGAGAGCATCCTGGCCAACATGGTGAAACCTCGTCTCTACTAAAAATACAAAAATCAGCTGGGCATGGTGATGCACACCTGTAGTCCCAGCTACTGAGGAGGCTGAGGCAGGAGAATCGCTTGAACCTGGGAGGCAGTGGTCGCAGTGAGCCAAGATCCCACCACTGCACTCTGGCCTGGTGACAGAGTGAAACTCCGTCTCAAAAATAAAATTAGAAAAAAAAACTCACAAAATTTTAGAAGCTTGCAAGTTCTAAGATATGCAGCTGACAAGCTAGAAACCCAGAATAGCAAGTTGTAGTACAAGTTCTAGTCTGAAGGCCAGCAGGTCCAGACCCAGGAAGAACCAGTGTTTCAGTTTTAGGCCAACAGCAGAGAAAACCCATATCCCAGCTCAGGTAGTCAGGCAAGAGGAGTTATCTCTTACTCAGCTTTTTTGGGTCCCATTCAGGCTTTCAATGGATGGGATTATGTCCATTCACACTGGGGAGTACAACCTGCTTCACTCAGTCTACCTGCTGAAATGTTAATCTCATCTAGAGAAATCCCCACAAACACACCCAGAATCACATTTGGTCATATATTAGGCCACATTGTGGCCCAGTCAAGTTGGTACATTAAATAAACCATCACATTCAGGTTCTCGTCCACAAACAATTATTTGGGGGCCTTTTGTTTTGCCTTCCATGCTCCAGATAAACATGCCTGCTCTGTAGGGTAGCTGCCATAATGTCCTAACCAATACCCTGTCTCAATTATGATGAAAAGGTGGCCATTTAAAAATCTTGTATGGAGTTTAAAAATTATGATTTCTTTGAGGAACAACTTAGACACAGTTAAGATACTATTTGTATATTTGCTCATCCAATCTCGTGACTGGATGTCTTAATTTTATCTTTTGTAACTCAAACAGAAGATGCTGTTATTATCCTGGGGAATTGGTGCAACAAGCAGTAGAAAAGAGGCTATGAGAGGTAAAAAAATAAAATAAAAAATTCTTTAAAAAGGAAGGCAAAGTGGAGTGGTACAGCAGTAGTGTTGATTCCTAAGGAGATATTAGGGCGCTTAGTTAGTTTGAGCTTAATTCATATAATAGGTGGTATAGTGATGCATATTAGGCAGAGTGGTATGTCCACGTGCAGCAGCAAAACTGAATGTCAGAGGGGTGGCAGCATTGTGTTTATACATGGCTTGTCAAGTTTAGAGAAAAGTCCTCTGAACTCTGAGTTAATATATGCAGGAAATGGTTCCCATTCCCTGGGGTAGAATTGGAAAATATCATGGCAATTGTTCTTAAATCTGACTACACATGAAAAGCTTTATAAAAAATGTTTGGGCCCTATCCTCAAAACAAATCACTATCCTTCAGTGGAACCATTTTATTATGAAAAAAATTAAACAGCGAAGTTAAAAGACTATTAATGTGATATCTATATATTTCTCCTCTAGATTATACATTTAAAAGTTTGCTAAACTTTTGTTGTCACATCTATCCATCTAGTCATCTCTCCATCCATCTAGTAATCCATTCTGTCTCTGATGTATTTTAATATAAACCTAAGCCACTAGAGTACTTCCCCATGAATAATCAGCTTGTATATCATTAACAAGTGTTCGGTCTTATTTATGGGATTTTTCCTTTTGATATAAAATTTACATACAATGAAACACACAAATCATAAGCGTTAATTTGCTGAGTTTTAACAAATGAATTTATCTCCGTAATTCAAACATCTAGCAAAAAAATAGAATATTACCAGGACTTCAGAAAGTCTCCTCTTGCCCTCCTCAAGTCGATTCCCTGCCTCTACTCCCTGGAGGCAATCATTATTCTATTTTTTTTTTTGCACCACAGATTAGTTGTTGCCTTTTTGAAAACTTCATACACATGGGATCAAATACTCTGTACTCTTTTATGCAAGACACTTTGCATTTTGCATAATGTTTTTGAAATATATCCATCTTGTTGCTTATAATAGTATTTTTCCTTTTTATTGCTGAGTAGGATTTTATTACATAAAAGGAGAATTTATCAATTCCCTTTTTAATGGGCATCTTGACTGTTTCTAGTGTTTGACTATTATAACTAGACCTACTAGAGTCATTCTTTTGTGGTCATGTTTTCATTTTCTTAGGGGTGGATTGCTAATCATGGGAGAGGTTTATGTTCGGTCTGTTCTTCTTGTCTTTGTGTCCCTAAGTACGCAATGTTTAACTCCCATTTATAAACGAGAACATTCAGTACTTGATTTTTTTTTGCATTAATTCACCTAGGATAATGGCCTCCAGCTGCATCTATATTGCTTCAAAGGACATGATTTCTCATTTAAATGGATGCCTAGTATTCCATGGTATACATGTACCACATTTTCTTTATCCATTCCACCATTGATGGATATCTAGGTACATTCCGTATCTTTGCTATTGTGAATAGTACTGTGATGGACATATGTGTGCATGTGTCTTTTTGGTAGAATGATTTATTTTCCTTCAAGTATATAACCAGCGGTGGGATTGCTGGGTCAAATGGCATATTAGCTTTAAGTCCTTTGAGAAATCTCCAAACTGTTTTCCACAGTGTTTAAACTAATTTACATTCCCACCAGTAGTATATAGGCATTCCCTTTCCTCCACAACCTTGCCAACATCGTTATTTTCTGACTTTTTAATGATAGCCATTCTGACCACTGTGAGATGGTTTCTCATTGCGGTTTTGATTTGCACTTTTCTAATGATTATTGATATTGAGCAGTTTTTCATATATTTGTTGGCTGCATTTATGTCTTCTTTTGAGAAGTGTCTGTTCGTGTTGTGCTTTGCACTTTTTATTTTAAACTGAGTTGTTTGATTTTTGCTCCCTGAATTGCTGAAGTTCTTTATAGATTCTGGATATTAGACCTTTGTCAGATGCATACTTTGGGAATATTTTCTCCCATTCTGCAGGTTGTCTGTTTACTCTGTTGATAGTTTTTTTTTTTTTTTTTTTGCTGTGATGATGATCTTTAGTTTAATTAAGTCCCACTGGTCAATTTTTGTTTTTGTTGCAGTTGCTTTTGGTGACTAAGTTATAAATTCTTTGCCAAGACAGGTGTCCAGAACGGTATTTCCTAGTTTTTTGTCTAGGGTTTTTAGAGTTTTAGGTCTTACATTTAAGTCCTTAATACAGCTTAAGTTTATTTTTGTATATGATGAAAGGAAAAGGTCCAGTTTCAATTTTGTGCAAATGACTAGCCAGTTTTCCCAGCACCATTTATTGAATATGGAGTCCTTTCCCCATTGCCTGTTATTGTCAACTTTGTTGAAGATCAGTTAGTTGTAGGTGTGTGGCTTTATTTCTGGATTCTCTATTCTGTTACGTTGGTCTATGTGTCTGTTTGTGTACAAGTATCATGCCGTTTTGGCTGCTGTAGGTTTGTAGTATAGTTTTCTTCATGTAATGTGACGCTTCTGGATTTGTTTGCTTTTCTTAGAATTGGTTTGGCTATTTAGGCTCTTTTTTTTATTTCATATGAATTTTAAAATAGTTGTTTCTAATTTTGTGAAGAATAACATTGGTAGTTCCATAGGATAGCATTGAATACATAAATTGCTTTGGGAAGTATAGTCATTTTAACAATATTGATTCTTTCAATCCATGAGCATAGAATGTTCTTCCATTTGTGTCATCTCTGATTTCTTTCAGCAGTGTTTTGTGGTTTTTGCTGTAGAGATATTTTACCTCCTTCATTAGTGGTATTCCTGGGTCTTTTATTCTTTTTGTGGCTATTGTAAATATAATTGTGTTCTTGATTTGACTCTCAACTTGGACATTATTGGTGTATAAAAATGATGATAATTTTTGTAAACTGATTTTGTATCCTGGGACTTTGCTGAAGTTACTTATCAGTGCTAGGAGACTTTAGGCAGAATCTATGGAGTTTTCTAGGTATAAAGTCCTGTCAGAGAGATTTTCTCTTCCTATTTGGATGTCTTTGCCTTCCTCTCTTCCTATTTGGATGTCTTTCTTTCTTTGGCCTGTTTGCTCTGGCTAAGACTACTAGTACTATGTTGAATAGGGCTAATGAGAGTGTGCATCCTTGTACTGCTCCAGTTCTCAAGGGGAACACTTTCACCTTTTGCTCATTCAGTATGATGTTTGTTGTGTGTTCATCATAGATGGCTCTTATTATTATTATTTTCTTTTTGAGATGGAGTCTGGCTCTATTGCCCAGGCTGGAGTGCAATGGCAAAATCTTGGCTCACTGCACCTCCGCCTCCCAGGTTCAAGCGATTCTTCTGCCTCCGCCTCCTTAGTAGCTGGGATTACAAGCGTGCGCCAGCAGACCCAGCTAATTTTTGTATTTTTAGTAGAGACGGGTTTTCACCATGTGTGCCAGGCTGGCCTCCATCTCCTGACCTTGTGATCCACCCACCTCAGCCTCCCAAAGTGCTGGGATTACAAGCATGAGCCACTGCGCCCGGCCTGATGGCTCTTACTATTTTGAAGCATGTTTCTTCAATGCCTAGTTTGAGGGTTTTTAACATGAAGGGACATTACATTTCATCAGAAGCCATTTCTGCATCTATTGATAGAATCATGTGGTTTTGTTTTTAATTCTGTTTTTTGGCTTGCATATGTTGAAGCAACCTTGTATTCCAGGAATAAACCTTACTTGTTCATGGTGGGTTAACTTTTTGATGTGCTGCTGGATATGATTTCCTATTATTTTGTTAAGGATTTTTGCATCTATGTTCAGGGATATTGGTCTGAATTTTTCTTTTTTCATTGTGTCTCTTCCAAGTTTTTTCACCATAAGGTGCTGGCTTTGTAGAATCAGTTGGGAGGAGTTCCTCCCCCTTAATTTTTTTGCAATAATTTTATTAGGATAAGTACTACTTTGTATATCTGGTAGAATGTGGCTGTGAATCTATCTCATCCAGGGCTTCTTCTGGTTGCTAGGTTTTTTATTACTGATTCCATTTTGCAACTTGTTATTGGTCTATTCAGGATTTCATTTTCTTCTTGGTTCAATCTTGAGAGGTGGTATATTTCCAGGAATTTATCCATTTTTTTCTAGGTTTTCTAGTTTGTGTGCATATAGATGTTTGTAAAAATCTCTGAGGATTTTTTGTGTGTTTCTGTGTATTAATGCCACCTTTTTCATTTCTGACTGTGTTTATTTGGATCTTCTTTCTTTTCTCCTTTATTAATCTAGCTAGTGGTCTATCAATTTTGTTTATTCTTTTGAATAACCAACTGTTGGTTTTGTTGATTTTTTATATGGACTTTTTGCATCACAATTTTGTTCAGTGCAGCTCTGATTTTATTGCATTTAATTTTTTTGCTAGCTTTTGATTTGGTGTGCTTTTGTTTATCTAGTTCCTCTAGGTGTAATTTTAGGTTTTCAATTTGAGATCTTTTTGACTTCTTGATGTATTTAGTGCTACATACTTTCCTCTTTACACTGCTTTAGCTGTGCCCCAGAGATCTGCTTTACTGTGTTGTCTGTGTTTTCATTAGTTTCAGAGGAGTTTTTAAGTTTGTCTTAATTTCATTTTTTACCCAAAAGTCATTCAGGAGCAGGTGGTTTACTTTCTATGTAATTGTGTGGTTTAGAGAGATATTCTTAGAATTGATTTCTGTTTTTATTGTGCTGTGGTCTGAGAATATGGTTGGTATGATTTTGATTTTTTTAAATCTATTGTGACTTGCTTCATAGCTGAGAATGTGGTCAATTTTAGAGTATGTGCCACATGTAGATGAGAAGAATGGGTATTCTGCTGTTATTGAGTGGAGTATTCTTATTCTATAGATCACTATTAGGTACATTTAGTCCATTGCTGAGTTTAAGAAATGCATATCTTTGTTAATTATATGCCTTGATGATCTGTCTAACTCTGTCAATGTGGTGTTAAAGTCTCCCACTATTGTTTTATGGTTATCAAAGTCTCTTCACAGGTCTCTAAGAACTTGTTTTATGAATCTGGGTGCTTATATAATTAGGATAGCTAAGTATTTTTGTTGGATTGCACCATTTATCATTACATAATACCCTTCATTTTTCTTTTTGATTATTGTTGGTCTGTTTTGTCTAAGACCAGCAATCCTTGCTCTTTTTGTTTTCTGTTTGCCTGCTCTTTCTCTAACCCTTTACTCTGAGCCTATGGGTGTCATTGCATGTGAGACAGGTCTCTTTAAGACAATAAACAGTTGGGTCTTGCTTTTGTATTCCTCTTGCCACTGTATGCCTTTTAAGTGGGGTGTTTAGTCCATTTACATTCAAGGGAAATATTGATATGTGAGTGTTTTTCTGGGTCATGGCACTGTTAGGTGGTTGTTAGTAGACTTGACTGTATATGGGATGACTTCGAATAGAATGGGAGGCAGGTTTGCTCTAAGCAGTTCCCAGCTTGAATTTTCCCTTTAGCTTAGGATTTTGGGGGCTCAGGATATTTTCCTTTAACATTGTCTTTCAACTCTTTCAGCAATTGTTTTACTGTCTTTCAGCAATTGTTTTACTGTTTTCCTTAGATTGAGTTTCAGCCTTCTTCTGTAATTTGTTGAGCTTCCCTGCCATCCAGTTTCTGAATTCTATGTCTGTCTTTTTGGCCATTTCGATTTGGTTAAGAACCATTAATGGGGAGCTAGTGTGATTCTTTGGAGGTAAGGTTTTAGAGTTGCCAGAATTCTTGCTTTTTTGTTGTTTATTTCTTTGTTTGTTTAAATCTATGTGGGCTAATATTCCTTTACCTTTTGGCATTGCTGTCTTGTGAATGAGGATTTTTGTTTTTATGTTCTTTAATGCCCCTGAGGGTTTGACTGCGATATATGTTGGGTTTAGTTGATTGGCTTCATTTCTGGATGCTTTCAGAGGGCAAAGGCTCAGTTTGGCACTCCTGTGCTGCATAGTGTTACCCTGGAGGGCTGGGACCCATGGCTTTTTTCTCTGGTCCCTTGAAGTCAAGCGCTGGCTGTGCTGGAGGGGCCAAGCAAGGTGCTTCCAGTCTGCTGGCAATAGCATTCCATTGGGGGCCATTGGCAAAAGCACTTTAGTAGGGTGAGGTGGGGCTCTAGACAAATTCACCCTAGAAGGGTGGTGAGAGGGGCCCACTGGCAAAATCACTCTGGTAGGGGTCATCAGCAAAAACACTCTGAGGGGGCAGCTGAAACTGCACTATGAGCTGGGTGGCCAGGATGGTACCCTGGAAGGGGCCCACAGACAAGGGGACATGCAGATTAGACTCATTCATTTTACAAGGGAAAAATATCCTCCTCTCTCTAGGTCTAGTCATTAACAAAGTTGAAAGACACCTAGAGGAGTACCGAGAGCCTTGGAGGATGAGCACCCACAGCTGTTTTTCACTGCAGCTGCCCCTGAACCAAACCTTCTGGGCTTCATGCGGATTTGGGTTCTGTCTGACAACTCTCTGGGAAGATCCCCCTGCCAACACAAATGTCCACTGGGGTCATAGGGTTTCCTGCGGCTAGAATCCCAGAGGCCCATGGCAAGAGCAGGTCACTGCACAGTTATTTAGATACTTTTTAATATACTTATGCACCATTTACATATCTTCTTCTGTGAAGTAACTTAAAATGTTTGCTCACTTTTGATTGGGTTGCTTATCTTTTGACTATTAAGTCATAAAAGGTTCTTTTTGTCAAAATTTTATACATGTTCTGGTTACTGGTCCTTAGTCAGATGTATGTTTTGTAAACCTTTTCTTCCAGTCTGTGGCTTTTTAATTCATTTTATTCATAATATCTTTTAATGAAAGAAGTTTTCAATTTTGCTAAAGTCTACTTTGTCCTTTTGTTATGGTCACTGCTTTTTGAGGCTGATTTAAGAAAAATTCCTTTCTTAAATCTTTCCAGGTGATTCTAACTCACAGCCAAAAGGGAAATCTCCTGGATTATTGGAATCTGTGAAATTACCTGGCAAGCTATAGAGATAATCAAAACACAAAGACAGTGAATTTTGGAGAAATTAGTATATCTTAGAGAAATTAGTGTATCTTAGAGAAAGTCTTGAAAGACTTGAGTTCTCAGGCTTTGCCTCAGGACAGTGAGTTTATGGGGACTTCTTAATTTCGGACCCACTTAGAGTCTGTAGCATGCTTCATGACTAGATTATAATTATTTTAGATACTAGATAAGGTAGAAGTTAAAATATTAGGGGCTTCACTCATTACAATTAAGCAGGAAAAAGAGAATGAGATATTAAAATTCTCAAACTTCAGCATCCTAGCCCTGCCAGGAATAGATTCACTATATTGGCTCATATAATTTTCCTGTACTATTTGTATGGGAGAACTTATGGGAGGAACGTAAATTAAACCTCCAAATATGATTGCCAAATGTTAGATTAGTTTCGGCTTAATTTGTACTAGGATTACAGAATCAAAACACTCAGTAAGGAAAGACACATTAGGTCCTGATAGTAGTGGTTCTTACTTATTAAGTACTTAATGTACATCAGGAATTGACAAACTGTGGTCATAAGCCAAATCTGTCCCACAGGCTGTTTTTTGTAAATAAAAATATATTGCAACAAACTAACCTCCTTTGCTTATGTATTATCTATTGCTACTTTTACACTACTAGGGATATTGAATATTTTTTAGTCAAATAATATAGGTGACAAAGTCAAAAATATTTACTATCCGTCCCTTTACAGAAAAGTTTGCTGATATACGACATATGTTAAGCTGTTTAATATGTCTATAAGCAAAATGTTTTATGTCCATTTCAAAGATGGAGAAATTCATGCCCCTGAGTTAGGTGACTCATCCAAGACAGCAAAAGGAAGAAATAGAATGTAAACTCATGCATGAATGGCCTCAGTGCATTTACTTGGACATTTATTTATATGTAAAATAAATGATATAACACAAACATGAGCAGAGCCTGAACTAACATTTTGCAATTACATGTTTAATATCACTTTCTTCTTTAAAACAAAGTGATAACCCATATGTAAGATACTGTCATGCAAGGCAGAACAGATTAGCAAAGTAAGCCAAACTCGTAGCAGGACACATCTATAGGTAGAAGAATATATGTGGTGGGAAAAATAACATTTTATCCAAATCCATATAATTTGAGCTTGTACTACATCAGGCAAGGGAACCACTGCATGTGTAAAGATCAGACTATGGTTCAGTTTGCCTAGAAAGTAGATTACAAGAAGAGCTGCTGAAAATATAACAGAAAAGAAAGTCACAGTTAAAGCAGAGGAGATCTTGAATGCCTGCTTAGGAAACTGCAATAAATGAAGAGCATTGAGACTTAAGATGACCATCAATTTTCGTAGGACTGAAGAGATTTCTGGGATACAGGACGTTTAGCGCTAAAACCAGGACAGTCCGAGTTTTAGCACCCTGCCCCCAATTACACAGACGCTTTTAGGGTAACATATAATGCATAGTCATAATCCTTCCTCACTTCTATATTAATATTTAATAAAGTTATCTCAGAGAATCTGAGGAAGAAAAGGATAAATCGAGTCAAATGGAATTCACTTGAGAATGATATGAGAATTAGCTTCTGAGTTGATTATCAATTATATTTCATTTTAGCAAATCCCAGCTTTACTGATATGCAGAATGATAACTATAGCAAAGGGTCATAGACCAGAGAGGCTAATTAATAAAACATCACTTTCTTAGAATAAAAAGGCGACAAACAATCAATCTCCTTCATGAATTGGTTTTAAGATACAGTTTTTTAATTAAAAATTATCTCATCTTATTTTTTGTTCTATGTTAATAAAGAGTTTTAAATTGTGACTAATATATTGGGTGTTGCAAACTTTGATTACTTAAGGGCACTTGATACAAAATAACATTTGATTTACTCATGTTTGCTCATTCAGTCACTCAGGGGAGAGTTTTTGAGAGCCTACTAAATGTGGAAGAAATAAAGATGAAATCCAAGACAAATGCCGTACCCTCAAATAGCTCAGAATCCACTTAGTAAAAGAAATATGTGAACAAATACTATTAATAAAGAAACAAGGGGGAGTAAAAGTAATGAATGTGTGTCAGGTTTTGTGGAAGAAGGGAATTATTTATACTTATATTAAATAGTTAGGAAAGTCCAGGGAGCTTGGACAGGCATGTGGTGGTATCCAAGTTTTGCTTAGAGCAGAAAGAATAAATAAGATGGCAGAATTAGATATGAGAGTCTATGCTGAATGAGTGGACAGGCATCTGGGGCTTGATAGAACTGATGGGATATTTATTGAGGAATATAGTATAGCCATAGGATGGGTGTGGAACATGCAGAAAAAAAATGTGAATGTCAGAGCTGAAGAAATATCACTGTGGACTGAGCCTCAGGAGTAAGGCAGAGTCAAAAGAATCACAGGTGATGTGAAACTGGATATGAAAACAGGAAGAAATGGCAGAGGGGAATGTACATTAGGTGGCAAAAATTAGAATGCTAAGAACCTTGAGTGTTGGGTAAAGCTGGAGATAAAAGCATGCTTTTGCATTGTTAGACTAGCAGGTGCCTTATTTTTTATCAAAACATAATAATTGTACATATTTATGGAGTATATGTGATATTTTGATACTTGCATACAATATATAATTATTAAATCAGAGTAGTTAGGATATCCTTTGCCTCAAATGTTTATCATTTTTAATACTGAGAACATTTCAGATCTTCCAGCTATTTGGAAATATACAATAAATTACTGTTAACTGTGGCCATCCTACTGTACTACTGAACACTAGACTCATTCCTTCTATGTAATTGTATGTTTTTATCCATTAAGCAATCTCTCTTCACCTCTACTACTTCCCAGGCTCTAGTAACTGTCATTTTACTCTCTATCTCCATGAGATCAATGTTCTTTTTTTTTTTTTTTTTTTTTTCTGAGATGGAGTCTCACTCTGTTGCTCATGCTGGAGTGCAGTGGCATGATCTCGGCTCACCACAACCTCTGCCTCCCAGGTTCGAGAGATTGTCCTGCCTCAGCCTCCCAAGTAGCTGGGATTACAGGCACGTGCCACCATACCCAGCTAAATTTTTAATTTTTAGTAGAGACAGGGTTTCGCCATGTTGGCCAGGCTAGTCTCAAACTCCTAACCTCAGGTGATCCACCCGCCTTGGCCTCCCAAAGTGTTGGGGTTACAGGTGTGAGCCAGGGTGCCGGCCTGAGGTCAACTTTCTTAGCTCCCACATATAAGTAGGAACATATGATACTTGTCTTTGTCTGGCTTATTCCGCTTAAATTATTGAGCTCCACTTCTAACCACATTGCTGCAAATGACAGGATTTTGTTCTTTTTAAATAACTGGATAGTATTCCGTTGTGTATCTATAACACATTTTCTTATTTATCCATTGTTGGACACTTAGGGTGGTTCCATATATTGGCTATTGTGAATAGTGCTGCAGTAAACATGGGGGTGCAGATGTCCCTTTGATACACTGATTTCCCTTTGGATAAATACTTAGTAGTAGGATTACTGGATCATATGGTAGTTTTAATTTTAGTTTTTTAAGAAAGCTCCATAGTATTTTTCATAATGGATGTATGAATCCACATTCCCACTAACAGTGTGTAAGAGTTTCCTTTTCTTTGCTTCCTTGCCAGCTTTTATTTTTTGTCTTTTTGATAATAGCTATTCTAAATGCAGTGAGATGATATTCAATTGTGGTTTTGATTTGCATTTTCTTGATGATCAGTGAATTTGAACATTTTTCATATACCTGCTGGCTATTTGCGTGTCTTCTTTTGAGAAGTTTCTATTCAGATCCTTTGCCCGTTTTTAAGTGACTTTTTTTTTTGCTGTTGAGTTGTTTGTGTTCCTTGTATAGTCTAGATATTAGTACCTTGTTGGAGGAATACTTTGCAAACTTTTTTTTTCCATTCTACAGATTGTATCTTAACACTGTTGATTGTTTCCTTTGTTGTGTAGAAGCTGTTTTTAGTTTGGTATAGTTCCATTTGTCTTTTCTTGGTTTTGTTGCTTGTGCTTTTGAAGGCTGGGCCATAAAATCTCTGCCTAGACCAAAGTTCTAGACCATTTCCCCTCCGTTTTCCTCTAGTAATTTTATAGTTTCAGGTCTTATGTTTAAGTTTTAATCCATCTTGAGTTGACTTTTGTATATGGTGAGAGATAGGGGTCTAGTTTCATTCTTCTACATATGGATATCTAGTATTCCCAGCACCATTTATTAATGAGGGTGCCTTTTCCCAAGTGTATGTCCTTGGTGCCTTTGTCAAAATTGTATTTACAGTTGGCTGTAAATACATGAATTTATTTCTGGACTCCCTATTCCATTTATTTGGTCTATGTATCTGTTTTCATACCAGTATCATGTAGTTTGGGTTACTATAGCTTTGTAGTATATTTTGAAGTCAGGCAATCTGATGCCTTTAGTTTTGTTCTTTTTGCTCACTATTGTTTTGGTTATTTGGGGTCCTTTGTGGTTTTATAGAAATTTTAATACTTTTTTTTTACTGCTGGGAAGAATATTATTGGTATTTTGATAGCATATACCTTTTCGAGAACATGCTGGCACTCTTTAGGAAAAGTAAAGGTTTTCTTACTTTATGATCTGGCAATTCCGCTTCTGAGTATTTATTCTAAAGAAAGTTGTTATGTAGAGCCAGAAGAAGGTTTGCACAGGTTTTTTTTAAATTTTATTTTAATGTTATTTAGTAGGAGAAATTTGAAAATGACTTGAGTGGGTGTCTACCCATGGGAGAGTAGATGGGTAAAATATAGAAGAGTGATTTGTAGTGGTTAGAAACCATAAATAACAACATTGAAGGATCCGAAAGCATAGTACTTAGATTAAAAAAAACCCAGCAGGAAACAGAATGACATTTATACATAATTTAACTTTTATAAATTATATATATGTGTGTATAAACCAATAGTCATTTCTTCATAAAGCAACTTATTCTTTTCTAAAAATCACATTGGTATGCAAAAGCATGAAGTAGAAAACACTGTGCTTGTGAGAACAATGTGTTTGGGGAACAAAAAATATTTTCCAGTGACATTAAAAAGTTTGAAATCTAATAAAAACTGCAGCACAATTATATACGTTAAGTGGTTAAAGTACATACATGTTACAATATGTACATATGAAAACTTTCATTCGGTTGTAGTGCCAGATGTTTATTTGTATGGCTCCTAACACAGACAGGGAATTGAGGTAGCTAGTACACATTTGAGGAGTGTGTATACGTATGCTTTTGGTATGTTTATGTTTCTTTGGTGCTCCAGTCACTGGAGTACAGTTTTCTGAATTCACCTAGTGTTTCTCCTGGACAGAATTCCACACAACATAAATTTTACATTATACTCAAATTGTTTGCTCTGTCAACGGCATGGAAACAAATTCACAGTTGCATAACAAGCATTATAGCAGAAACGACTGTATGAACATGCAAACAAGTGGGAATAACACATTGTGAAAAGAGAAAATACATAAATATATGAAATAAGGGAAGGACCTTTTGTGGACCAGTGATAATAACTGATAATGTTCCCAAATTGAAGAGTATCATTAATCAACTATTTACAACTTTGATGTAGGGTGGGGGAAAAGTAGGGACTGGTGGCAGAGAATTTGGCCAAGGTGAGTATTTTATTTTATTTTTTATTTTATTTTATTATTATTATTATTTTTGAGACAGAGTCTTACACTGTTGCTCAGGCTGGGGTGCAGTGGCGCATTCTGGGCTCACTGCATGTGCCGCCTCCTGGGTTCACGCCATTCTCCTGCCTCAGCCTCCCGAGTAGCTGGGACTACAGGTGCCCAACACCACGCCCAGCTAATTTTTTGTACTTTTAGTAGAGATGAGGTTTCACCATGTTAGCCAGGATGGTCTCGATCTCCTGACCTCATGATCCGCCTGCCTTGGCCTCCCAAAATGCTGGGATTACAGGCGTGAGCCACCGTGCCCGGCCCAAGGTGAGTATTTTAGAGAAGAGTCCATGAGAAATTCCAGGGTGCCTGAAATTTGTTTTCTTGTATAGTGGGAACTAACCAAATGAGTTTATTAAATGAAAGAAAAGAGGTTTGCAGAGGACCTGAAATCTAGGTATTGACAATCGAGACGAAGAAACAGCTTTGCAATGGCACAGGAAACTAAGCAACACAATTGTATAGAACTAGAGAGAGAAAGAAAAAGAGAATTACAAAATCAACACAGATAATAGTTGATAATAAACAGGAAGTTGATCTCTAAATCTGCCAGACACTGAAGTGTTAATACCCATATATCTTTTTCAATATATGGCTCACCGAAAAGAGTGAGCAGACTGTATGGTCCAACATCACCAATGATGGGAAGCTATAGAGAATTCCCAATAATTTAGTGACTGCCACTTTACTTGATCATGGAACACAGAGGGATGGTTATGGAGAAACACAGAAACTGTAAAAGGAGATATGAAAAGTAGTCTGCAGCAGCAATAAAAATTGCAAATCCAAGGACAAAAGTGAGAAACCAGCCTCTAGATAGTAATGAACAATAAGATAGTGGATAGTAAAAATGAAAGGTGATAATGAATCACTTTTACATAGATGAATATTCACTGGATGATGTGGTTTAAAAGAAAAAAACATATATGCTTTCTGGAGATTGAAAGATACTGCAGTTGGAATAGACAAGCTAATATTTCCCCTTTGGAATAATGTGGGTTGGACTACGGCATAGAAATATGCACTCCAACGTAAAACTACAGCATTTTTATTAAAAGCAAGATATAAAGACCACAAGAAACAAAGAATGGAAAGAGGGAATAGAGAGAGGGAGAACACTTATAAGGCCATATAACTTGAGATGGATGTGAAGTCATTTACCTGCTAAGTTCATATGATTATCCTCCGGTAACTGTACTCTCAGCTGAAATCTTCCTTGCCTCTGAAAAATCTAGGTAACATGGGCTTCAGATTCCCTTCTCATCTGCCTGGGCCTGCAGACAGCCAGGACTTCTCTGGATGTATCCAAGGTTCTGCTTTCATGACCACCTACATGTCTGGGCACCTGCTCTGTCCTGGGTCATCTTTGTTGACCTACACTTGGAACTCAGGTTCTTCAAATTCCTTAAGTTTAACATTCCTAACAAATATCCTTATTAGACTATCTGTAAGATGTAGTGGTGAAACAGAGAAAGCTTTAAGTCCAAGCAACGTAAACAACTTTAAACACAATAGTAAGAAACCTTGCTCTTACAACATCCTCAGCTACCCCACCACTGCAGAGCTTCACAAACCTTTAACCCCATTAGGCTGTCTTTTTTTGTCCCTCCTCCCGCTCTTCTCTCATCAGGTATTTTCTTTATTTCTCTATTTCCAGTTTAGTTGTCCCATAGAGAGCATTTTGTCCCTCTTGTTGGAAGCCATGATGCCGATTAGCTAACACCAGAAATCATCAAAGTGTTTTTTTTTTTTTTTTTAAATACAAACACAGCCTCCTTCCTCATAGAAATTCTGGTTGTCAAAATGATAAATCCTTTCATTTCTTTGCACTGATTTTTATGGATGGCAATGAAGGTTCAGCTAAGTTAAAATGACATATGCAAGATCACAAAGCTAACTAGGAAGATAAGCAAGTGCTCAAAAGCTGCTTTTGTTAATAAAAAGGAGAAGCCAGCTGGGTGTGGTGGCTCATGCCTGTAATTCCAGCACTTTGGTAGGCCAAGGTGGGTGGGTAACGAGGTCAAGAGATCGAGACTATCCTGGCCAACATTGTGAAACCCCGTCTCCACTAAAAATACAAAAAAGTTAGCTGGGCGTGGTGGCATGCCCCTGTAGTCCCAGCTACTCGGGAGGCTGAGGCTGGAGAATCACTTGAACCCGGGAGATGGAGGTTGCAGTGAGCTGAGATTGCGCCATTACACTCCAACATGGTGACGGAGCAAGACTCTGCCTAAAAAAATAAATAATAAAAGAAGAAGGAGAAGCCTATATTGAGCATTCCTTATGAAACAGGCCCTGTGCCAGGTGCTTCCATCAGTTAGCGCTACCCTGTGGGGTCAGATTATTCACATTTTACAGATAAGGAGACTGAGATGCAAAGAGTGTGGGATACTTTTTCAAGGTCATGCAAGTAGTATTTCACCTATTTCCATTTTCTGGGTAATGGGGGCGAGGAAAATGAAAGAAAAATACAAAATAAATATTTGAAAGGGCAGTCTGCTGTAGAGATGGTTTGGTGATTGAAGGGCCATGGAGGTTTTATTTCAGTGTGGTAATCCTTGCCCGAATTTTTAGTGTTTTCTAGTTCATGAAATTGACGCGTTTACCTCTTTTCCTGTCTCTTTTCTTCAAGTTTCCTGGCTACTGGGGGATCTAGCTATTTTTGGATTAGGGAAGGTAGGTAACAAAAACGATATTCTGTCTCTGGTTTGACCAGCTGCTCTCTCTCTCATTTCCTCTGAAAGGCTGGCAGTGTGAGGGTAGTTTGGGACTTCTCTGTCATAGAGGGGTCTTTGTCATCGATCCTCTCTCTGCATGTAGAGGAGAAGTGTGGCAGGAGAAGCTACTATCTGCAAAAATTACTTTTAAGATGGGAAAGGACTATTTACATGTTCTCTTCTTTAGAAATTGGCACTATCCAAGGTCTATCATGGGCCTGGATTAGACTAAAATTTCAATATGAATAAGCTATTTTGGTGTCTTGGCAGGAGCCCACACAGGCTTTTGCACCACATGGCCGAGGCCATATTTGTGGCTCCAGCAGTTTCTTGGGGTCCTCATTTTCCTACAGACCAAGACCAGAGAATGAGTGATGCCCTCCTCTTGTACTTCTTCAGCACTGCAGAATGCAAATAGTCTTTCCAAGTCTTCCTTTCCCATGCCACCCCTGACCAGGTTATAGGAACTTTTCCTTTTAAAGGATTTATTGATAGATTCCTATTTTAGGAATAAGAGCATGGCATCTGGGTTCAAAACCCAGCTCTGCCACTTCCTAGTTGTGTGACCTTGAGCAGGTTACTCAAATTACCTGTGCCTCAGTTTCCTCATCCATATAATGGGACCAGGGATGATAGTATCTATTTCATAGGTTTAATATGAAGATTAAATGAATTTTTTTTTTTGAGACAGAGTCTCACACTATCACCCTGGCTGGTGTGCAGTGGCGCCATCTCGGCTGGCTGCAACCTCTGCCTCCTGGGTTCAAGTGATTCTCCTGCCTCAGCCTCCCGAGTAGCTGGGATTACAGGCACCCGCCACCACCCCCAGCTAACTTGTTGTATTTTTAGTAGAGATGGGGTTTCACTATGTTGGCCAGGCTGGTCTCAAACTCCTGATCTTGTGATCTGCCCACCTTGGTCTCCCAAAGCGCTGGGATTACAGGCGTGAACCACTGTGCCTGGCTGAATGTTTCTAAAGCTCTTATAATAGAGCATGGCATATAGCAAGTATTACATAAATGCCTATTGGATTAAAAATAAAATATATAATCTCTGAGGACAAGTAGACTTAGGTATTTGAAGTCAGAACTTTGCCCAGCTCTGTGGGTTTGGGTTTGAGTCCCATTCTCAGCTCCCCTAGTACTCCTTTCCCCTTTCCTGGTATGTGCACTACTTTAGAGAAATAAGTTTATTGAAATGGTGCTTAACTACTGATTTTGGGAGTGAAGGACTCTGTGCATCCTATTTATTATTTTATCGCCACTGCTTGGTGCTGCACTGTTAACTGAAGTCCTTGCCATTTTAGTCTCCTGTCTATACTGCAAATTCGCTTTTGGGGAAGTAAATAAAAGATTAGGAATCTGTCTCCTGCTTTTTCATCTCTGACTCTTCTAAGAAAGAGCCAGGGGGATGTCTATTCTCGACAGAACTCCTTTCCCCATCATAAGTGAAAAAGCCACCCAGTAAGAAAAACAGAAGATTGAGCCCTTCCTATGGGGCCTGTGTCAGTTTAGAGGTGATCTGTCCTACTTGGGAATAATCCCCTGTCAGCTTTTCCTTCTGATACCTGTGGCGATTTCAAATTAGGGTGGATCAAGGTCATTCAAAAACCTTACACAACTCGTCCAGGGACCAGTGAGGTGGAACTGAAGAGTGTGGAAAATGTCCAGGTTATTTTGAGGAAACTTGGGGCTAAAAGATCTGGAGCTGCTTAGAGCTGCATAATTTCCCTGGAGAAACTTCTGGCAAGTGTTGCACCATGGGTAAGACCAAATAGCTAAGGCAATTTGGCTCATCTTCATGGCCAAGAAGAAATGTGCTTAACAGGAGATAAACTCAGTGCCAGAACCATCCACAGTGGAAAAAAAAAAACAAAACAAAATGTATAGTAAATGACTTTGTGTATAACTGCCCATGTTGAAAATACAGAAAGAGAAGCTTCAGAAAAGGAAGTAAAAAATCATTCTCATTAACAGCAATAGTGAATAATAGCTTCTTAAAATGATCAATCGCAGAATTTCACAGCTTTAGTGCAGAATCTTGCACTTAGAGATACTCGAGGAAAGTGCACATGTTTATATTCCAATTTATAAAAATATCTGTTATCATTACAGGTTAAACTTAAACAAATGCAAACTATTGAAGTCAGTGACGAACTCACTCCTTCCAAGCTTTCCTCACCCATTTTAGACACTGATGGTTGTCACCACCCTTTGATTCCAGAACATTGTGAAAGTTCTGTGGAAACAGCATAGGCTTTGAAGTCACAAAGACTTGCATTCAAATGCTAGCTCCTTCATTTACTTGTATGACCTGAGATAAATTACTCAGCATTAGCAACCTCAGGTTTTCAGCTATAATCACTAGTGGGCAATTAGAATATTAACTTCTCAGAGGAGTTGGGAGTGCCAAATCAGAAAATATTATGAAAATCACATATCTCAGTTTCTTTCAGACACTAAGATCCAATAAATATTTGCTTCACTAACACTTAATTGTGGCACAGATACCCTAGAACAGTGGCAGTAGCCTGTGTGTCCTTTGTAAGAGTAAGTATCCAGAATATTCATGTGTTATTAGGCTTTATGATACATTTCATTGTAACACAAAGAGCAGAGTACTACCAAGACAAATGGACTTCCTTAGGGCTGCTACCATAGTTACTCTGTATCTTATCTTACAAAGTGATGCCAAAGGGGACAAGGGAAATGCTGAGAAGGGAAGGGAGTGCTCCTTTTAAATGATATGGAAGTGAGGAAGGGCATAGTCCCTGGCTAGGGCTCCACCCTTGGGCCTGTGCCCACGGATCTAGGTGAAGACAGGCATTTTTGTTTTCCTGGCCAAATGCTGCATTTCCCAAGACCATCCTGGCTTGCCATGCCCCATCCTGTGCCTATAAAAACCCCAAGATCCTAGCAGGCAGAGACACAAGTGGCTGGACGTTGAGAGGAACATATCGGCTGAAGAAGACACAAGTGGATGGACATCGAGAGGATGTTGAGGGGAGCATGCTGGCAGAAGAGCACAGGACAGATGCCAGCACACAGGCAGCCCATCGACAGGTGGAACTGAGAGGTGACAACGTGAGCAGCCCTCACTTGCTCTACACACCTCCTCAGCCTTGGCGTCTGCTCTGGCCACACTTGAGGAGCACTTCAGCCCACTGCTGCACTGTAGGAGCCCCTCTCTGGGCTGGCTGAGGCTGGAGCTGGCTCCCTCTGCTTGAGGGGAGGTGTGGAGGGAGGGAGAGGCGCAGGCGGGAACCAGGGCTGTGCGCGGCCCTCATGGGCATTCGTGAGTTCCTGGTGGGTGCGGGCTCAGGGGGCCCCACACTCGGAGTGGCCGGCTGGCACTGCAGGCCCAGGTAGTGAGGGGCTTAGCACCCAGGCCAGCAGCTGCGGAGGGGGCATCGGGCCCCCCAGCACTGCTTGCCCACCCGCACCGCTCTGGAATTCTCACCAGGCCTCAGCCACCTCCCCATGGGGCAGGGCTCGTGACCTGCAGCCTGCCATGCCCACGGCACCCCCACCACCACCCTGCGGTGGGCTCCCACGTGGCCTGAGCCTCCCTGATGGGCGCTGCCCCCTGCTCTGTGGCACCCGGTCCCATTGACCAGCCAAGGAGACTGGTGGGCAGTTCTGCCCGTGGTCCTGGCGCAGGATCCACTAGGTGAAACCAGCTGAGCTCCTGAGTTGTGTGGGGACTTGGAGAACTTTTATGTCTAGCCGGAGGATTGTATATGCACCAATCAGCACTCTGTGTCTAGCTCCGAGTTCGTGGATGCACCAATCAGCACTCTGTATCTAGCTAATCTGATGTGGACTTGGAGAACTTTTATGTCTATCTAAAGGATTGTAAATGCACCAATCAGCACTCTGTCTAGCTCAAGGTTTGTAAACTCACCAATCAGCACTGTGTCTAGCTCAAGGTTTGTAGACACACCAATCAGCACTCTGTGTCTAGCTCAAGGTTTGTAAACACACCAATCAATGCTCTGTGTCTAGCTAATCTAGTGGGGACTTGGAGAACTTTTACGTCTAGCTAGAGGATTGTAAATACACCAGTCAGCACTCTGTGTCTAGCTCAGGGATTGTAAATGCACCAATCAGCACCCTGTCAAAATGGACCAATCAGCTCTGTGTAAAATGGGCCAATCAGCAGAATGTGGGTAGGGTCAGATAAGGGAATAAAAGCAGGCTGCCCAAGCTAGCGGTGGCAACCCGCTCAGGTCCGCTTCCATGCTGTGGAAGCTTTATTCTTTTGCTCTTTGCAATAAATCTTGCTGCTGCTCACTCTTTGTGTCCACGCCAACTTTGTGAGCTGTAACACTCACCATGAAGGTCTGCAGCTTCACTCTTGAAGCCAGCGAGACCATGAACCCACCAGGAGGGACGAACAACTCCTGACGAGAGGAAAGAACAACTCCAGTTGCACCGCCTTTAAGAGCTGTAACACTCACCGTGAAGGTCTGCAGCTTCACTCCTGAAGCCAGCGAGACCATGAACCCACCAGAAGAAAGAAACTCCGGACACACCATCTTTAAGAACTGTAACACTCACCGTGAGGATCTGCGGCTTCATTCTTGAAGTCAGTGAGACCAAGAACCCACCAATTCCGGACACAGTAGGAGGCAGAGTTTGGCTGGGGTAGTCGGAGAAGGGCCCAGGCTGTTGAGCGGCCTGACCCACTCCATCCCCTTCTGGCTTCCCCCATCTGCTGAGAGCTATGTCCACTCAATAAAACCTTGAACTTATTCTCCAAGCCCAGGTGTGATCTGATTCTTCTGGAACACCAAGGCAAGAACCCAGGATAAAGAAAGTCCTCTGTCTTTCTGACAATGTAGAGGGTGTAATTGAGCTGGTTAACACAAGATGCCTACAGGTGGCTAAACTAAGTTAGCACCCTGTAACCCATGCCCACTGGGGCCTCAGCTATAAACATTCACCTCCAGACACTTCCATGGGGTGGGAGCTCCACAGCCTGCCTGTCTGTATGCTCCCCTAGAGGTTTGAGCAGTGGGGCACTGAAGAAGCAAGCCACACCCTCATTGCATGCCCTGAAAAGGGGACCAGGGAACTTTTCTGGTCTCAAAATGAGCTTTCACATAGTGGAAAGTCAATAAATATTTGAGGGATGAATTAATTAAAAACGAATGAGCATTAATCCTTAATTAATAAGGTGTTATTGTACTTCCCTATATTCCATGGAGGAGGGGGAAAAAAACAAATAATGACAAGCTAATATTGGAATGTAAGGGAATTTAATTGTGCATGAACATGTACATTTAATTCCTTAGATATACTCAGGGATAAAGACTCAATAGGATACACATTTCTTATTTATTCTGTATCCATACCTTCAATCCTGGATTATAAGATTCTTCAGAAAGATGACTCTTAGGATGGTCTACCATTACATATAAACAAATGTACATATTTATTGGTGCAGGAGGACATTGTCAAGTGGAGGATAGGGGAAGGACATTTCTATAGGCACTCAAACATCTGAGTTCTTGTCCATCAGTTAGCTATGTGAACTTGGGCAAGTTGGTTCCCTTTTCTTTCTTTTTCTTTTTTTTTTCGAGACTGAGTCCTGCTCTGTCCACCAGGCTAGAGTGCAGTGGCATGATCTCGGCTCATTGCAAGCTCTGCCTCCTGGGTTCACACCATTTTCCTGCCTCGGCTTCCCGAGTAGCTGGGACTACAGGCGCCCATCACCATGCCCGGCTAATTTTTTTGTATTTTTAGTAGAGAGGGGATTTCACCGTGTTAGCCAGGATGGTCTCGATCTCCTGACCTTGTGATCTGCCCGCCTCAGCCTCCCAAAGTGCTGGGATTACAGGCGTGAGCCACTGTGCCCAGCCAAGTTGGTTCCCTTTTTTGAGCCAGTTTCTGGATATAATTAAAAGATTGGATTTGATAATCTATAAAATATTTGCCAGCTCTAAAATGTTTTTAATTATGTGGCCAGGAATTTGGTTATGACACTTTAGAAACAGTCATGAATGCCTCTGTTTTAATACTTGACAACATACATACGATGATATAATATATATTTGTGTATTTCACTAGACCGTGAACTTCTTCAGGCTCTGGCTTAGGGCCTAGAACAGAGTAAGTCTTTACAAATTAACTGAAATTCATTAATTATACTGCTCAGATATACCAATAGAGTTCACAAGTTTGAGTTGTGATTCAGTCTATATTTTTTAAAAAAAACAAGAACTAATGCCAATGACAATTTTCAAATGGTCTTAGATTCTATAATGTTAAGTGCACTTCAGGTAAATGTAGTGACCCAGAGGGTTAAAATTAAATGATGAAAAATGGCTTAGTCTGCCATTTCTCAAACGACACAGGTATACACGGCTATAAGCAGTTCCTTTCTTTCTCACATCAGGTGATGCACAACACATGTGCCTCAGACTTTGAACTTGCTTCAGTCAACATTTTTATCTGTGGCTTGACTGAAGATATAGTGAATAGCTCATCGCATGCACAGGTGACAGAGATCTGGAAGGGAAAGCACATGTGGTTTCACACTGAATCACAATCCTAAAAGCTTTTAACAGGGTTACTTGATAAGACAATTTAATTCTCATAAAATACAGTTAACAAAGATGAACGTTCTACCCAGATTTCTAAAAAACGAAATGTGTTACACAGGTTCAGGAAAATAGGGCTCAGTGATTACAAATCTAAAATATCTTAAGCGTTTTTAAATAATTACAGTAGTAATTATGACAATAACAGCCATAATTTATTGAAAATAGTAGATCCCCCATATCTGTGTTTCTCCTTTATGTGGTTTTAGTTACCTGAGGTCAACTGCAGTCCAAAAATAATAAATGAAAAATTCCAGAAATCTACAATTTATAAGTCTTAGATTGCAAGCCAGTCTGAGTGGCATGATGAAATCTCCCACTGTCCTGCTCCATCCCACCCTGGACACAGATCATACCTTTGTTCAGCATATCCATATGTATGCTACCCATTCACCCATTAGTCATCAACATTGTCTGCTCCTGACATCCAGCTATCGACATCTACATGGATTGAGGACCAGAATCACCCCAAGCAGATGATTTTCCTTCTGATGTGTTGTCAGAAGGTCAATAGTAGCCTATAGCTACATCACAGTGCCTATGTCATTCATCTCCTTTCAACTCAACATGTAGGCTCAAGAAATGTGAGTATAATATGATAAGATATTTCAAGACAGAGACCGATTTCACATAACTTTTATGACAGTATATTATTATAGTTGTTCTATTGTATTACTATTGTTATTAATCTAACTGTGCCTAGTTTACAAGTTAAATATTATCATGGGTATGTATGTATAGGAAGAAACATAGTATATCTAGGGTTCTGTACTATCCATGGTTTCAAGCATCCACTGGGAGTCTTGCAATGCATCCCACATGAATAAGTGGGGACTACTGTGCTTACTATGTGCCAGGCACTGTACTGGACCCTACATCTCTTGAGTTTCAAGGCCAATGCCTTTTCAGTGTACCGTGTTCAAAGTTCAGTTAAGACAACCAATGATAGGACTCCTACAATGTTATATGATTTTAAAATCAATTAAGACAGCTAGGCAGGTGGAATCCTGTGTTTTATGCTAGTGAAACTTGGTTGAAATTGTATTCAGGCTTAGATTCCACAATTTCATAAGTATATAGTGTGTGTGCTCCAGGGGAAAGTGAGGGGCCTAGCAACCTTATTTTCCAAGGATTAGCTGGGGAAAAAGTGAATAATAATCTGTATTAGTAGAGAGGGGAAATGATAGCTGTTTTTAGAAACTGAAAAGGCTATCGTGTGACTGTTGGATCAGGCGAATTTTATCTAGATCCTGAAGAAAGAAGCAGGATGTAGAGTGAAAGGAACAGATAAATGGATTTTGGCTTAACAGAGGAAAAAAAAAAAAAACTAATAGTGAGTTCTATCCTAATACTGCCAAATGAATGAGAGTCCCATTGTTAAAAGTGTGCAGGGAAAAGTTGGACATTCGCTCATGGAAAAGGAAGACTGGAATTAATGACAGAAGAGATGCCTCAAGGTCAGTTTCAAAATAGTAATTTTATTATTCTCTGATTATATATTGATAGAGACTTCTTTAGAGTTTGCAATCAAAACCTTTTCTAATTTAACTGAAGCTACTCCATTAAAAATCTGCTGGATATTTTATAAATACTTGTATAATCCCTGCCCTCTAAGATAGTATAACAAAGATATTTCTGCAAGTTTCTTGCTTTCAGTCATTTTAATTTATCATAAAAATTCTTTCTTTTCTTTTTTTATTTAATTTTTTAAATGCTTCATGAATTTGCATATCATCCTTGCATGGGGGTCATGCTAATCTTCTTTGTACCGTTCCAATTTCAGTATATGTGCTGCTGAAGTGAGCACTATATTCACATTACTAGATGGTAAAACTAACCCAGAGAAGTTAAGCAATAAATCTAACATCATACTGTTAATTAGTAGTAGTACTATGATGCAAACATAATTGATTAACAATTCTAAACAATGAGTCTTCCTCCACATTTTCATAAAGATCTACAAATTAGAGTAATTTTAAAAAGATCTTCGTTTTGTAGCTTTTTAAATAATAGAAGTCATAGTTTATTATCACTTTTATAATGAAAAAGGCATGTTGCGGGAAATTTGGAAAATATAGTAAAATTAAAAATAATAAAAAATAGAATAATATCCTCTATAACTCTGCCATCTGTAAAATTACTTCAACTATTATAGTGCATAATTGTGTGAGGTTTTTATATATATATTTCATGAAATATATAAATATATGATCAAAAATAAGTATTACGTATAAATATACACACATGCAAATATATAAATATATAATTTTTTAATATTTTTTTTTGAGATGGAGTCTCACTCTGTCCCCCAGGCTGGACTGCAGTGGCATGATCTCGGCTCACTGCAAGCTCCGCCTCCCGGGTTCACACCATTTTCCTGCCTCATCCTCCCGAGTAGCTGGGACTACAGGCACCCACCACCACGCCTGGCTAATTTTTTGTATTTTTAGTAGAGACAGGGTTTCACTGTGTTAGCCAGGATAGTCTCCATCTCCTGACATCGTGATCCGCCCGCCTTGGCCTCCTAAAGTGCTGGGATTACAGGTCTGAGCCACTGCACCGGCCTATAAATATATAGTTTTTAAGATAAATGGGACCAACTACTCTGTGTTGCTCTTTGCTTTTCATGGGAAATATAATTTTGTGAGTATATTCTAATATCACTAAACATTTTTCTTTTTTAAATTATTGTTCTAACTGTACTGCGTGCAAGTCCATTTTTATTTTCTCAACACATCAACAGAATATTTTATTTTATAAAGCACTTTTTGGTACTGTGGTTGGTTTTCATGATGCAAGAAGGCCCTGAGACTATTCCGTAAAACATATGTGTCCTTTAATTTTCCTTTTTAAAAATCATTTTGTCTGTTTTAAATTTTAATAGCTTTTGGGGTACAAGTGGGTCTTGGTTACATGGATGCATTGTACAGTGTTGAAGTCTGGGATTTTAATGTACCTGTCACTAGAGTAGTATACATTGTATCCAATAGGTATTTTTTCATCCCTCACCCCCATCCAACCCTCCCCTCTTCTGGGTCTCCAGTGTCCCTTATACCACTCTGTATGCCTTTGTATACCCATATTTGTTTTCCCATTCTTAGGTTACTTTACTTAGCATTATGACCTCCAGTTCTATCCAAGTTGCCACAAAAGACATTTTTCATTCGTTTTTATGTATTTAATAGTATTCCATGTATATGGTACTATGGTTAGAGCAATAATTAAAAAAATTTAGTGATAATAGTCTATACTAAATGAAATATATATACTTTTTTTTATCTACTCATCAATTGGTGGGCGCTTTGGTTGATTCCATATCTTTGCTATCGTGACTTGTGCTGTAATGTATACACACATACTGGTGTTCTTTTTACATAATGAATTCTTTTCCTTTGTGTACTCAGTAGTGAGATTGCAGGATAACATAGTAGATGTACTTTTCGTTCTTTGAGAAGTATTCCTGCTGTTTTCCAGAGAGGGTGTGCTAATTTACATTCCCAGAAATAGTGTATCAGTATTCTCTTTTCACCACATCTGCGCCAACATCTATTTTTTGACTTTTTAATGAAAGGCATTCTATCTGTGGTAAGATAGTGTCTCATTGTGGTTTTAATTTGCATTTCCCTGATGTAATATTGCTAAATATTTTTCTAAAGCATAAAGTTTATTTGCTTCAGCCTAAAGATATATTGAGAGGACATAAAAATCCATTTTTATTGACATGCTAGTAGAATTATTTCCCTGAAATATTGAGACTTGTGGTCAGTAAAAGGAATTTTTTGCTTCATCTGTCCTCAGGACTGAAGACAGATTAGGAGTAACTGAAAGTAGCCACTGGTTTCCCATCACACTCATGCCTGCTTGATCTAGCCCCTTTCCAGTAGTAACCTCACTCATCTACTCCTATCTAAGCACTTTGGACTCATTCTCTCTCTCTTGAACTTGCCAAATGTATTCCAGGCCTACATCTGAACACACGGCGTTCACATGACTTAAAAAGCTTTCCCTAGATATTCATTTGGATCTCTGTTTCAACATCACCTCCTGAAAGGGGTCTTTCCTGACTTGCTTAGCCCCAGAAACCCTGACCATCCTTTCTTGTTTTCCATCGCCCTACCTCCACCCTGCTTTATGTTTCTGTATCCCACTTCATTATCTACAGTCATATCATGTCAGTATTTGTTCCTTGGTATTTTCCTTCTTATTTATTAAATACAGGGGAATTACAATGCTTCGGTCTTATCAATAGTCACCTAGAATAGTGCTTGGCATAGAGTGTGTACCCAACATATGCTTATTGCCTGAATGAATGAGTGAGTAGCTTGTAAGGCATGCCCGGCAAAAAGATCCCATTTTAGTTTTAGTAAGTTGCAAAGTCAGGGGAGGGTTTTGAGCTGTTTCCTAGTCTTTCTTTATCATTGATCTAAGAGAGATTATTTAAGAGGCCTGAAGCTTAACATGAAAGTGGATTTATTCTTTTATACTGGAGTTTTTGTGGGAAGAACAAAAACCAGAAGTTGTCCTGAAGGAAGGCTAGGAAGAAAAGACCAGATTGTCAATATAATTGGGCTAGACAGAGAATGGGAGGATGAGACAGAGTCAAATGGGATTTTTTTAAAAAACGAAAAGATCCATTTCTCAGTGGCACCTGATAGATAAATAAATTGTGGGAAGCTCACAAGGCCAGGTATAGGTGCTAACATTGCCTGTCTATAGATTTCATATCTGGAAAGTAGGTATATTTAAAAGCCCAGAGTAAGTGGAATGGTCTTATTTTTATCGGAAGAGTAATGATAAGCTCATTAATTGTGTAAGCGGATAGGTGATACAAGCCTCAGAAGTATTGTATTGGCTTGCATTTTGAAGATCCTGTAAAAGAAAATGCAATCAAATTGTGATTTTTGAGAAGGGGGTTATCCATCAGCATTAGAGTCTTGATAAGGCTATATAGGTTTCTTAAGAAAGACACTTCTTCAAAGGCGATAACATAGTTATCTCTCTGTCGTGCAGTATAATTGATAACACTATTCAAAATTAATAGACTTTGGTGTGTAGTAGATTAATGCACAGTATGCTCAGAACAGAAAGCTTACCACTTCTGGGATTTTAACCCACATCTAGAATTCAAATAACATGAAAAGAGAGGGATGGGCGAGGCCTCACGTCTGAGGATACAGCAAAGACCGACAAGTTTTACAACATGATAGTGGTCATAAAATTAGACTTAACAACCCCACAGTCCTGAAAGTGAGATAGAAAGGTGTTCAAAGGAAACCTGTGCTTCTGGTATGTATCATCCCTCCTATTTTATTAGTATAAGTTTACAGTTCCCATTGCTGGCTCTGCCTGAGCTCTTATAAATACGGCAACATATAGTACTTAAGAAATATTACATTAATGGGGGATTTCTATTAGTCTTCTATGACCTAGATTAATATTGGAACAGTTTAATAGACACAATCATAATGAGAACAAACCTACTAGCATATGTCATCAAAAGGCATGGTCTTTTTTTAGCTAGACTCGGGAGGAAATTAGGGTAAAAGAAAGAGAATCAAATCAGGGGAAAGCATAAAGATTAATGAAAATAGGGCCCAGACAGGCTGGTACTCTTACAGAAGCTAATATAGAAGCAGCAGTTCATCTTGTCTCTTGTGAGAACTAGACTGGGAAGTCAGGGGGAAGGACCCATCTATGATGCCAGAGAAGAGCTCACCAAAGAGGTAAAACAGAATTTCTTCCTTATTCCTGATTTTCTAGCAGATAGATCAAGGACTTTGGAGGCATAGACATCTAGATTAAGATTCTGGCTCTTTTATTTGTTCTGTGTGTGATGTTTGGACAGTCATTTAAACTCATGGGGTATTAGTCTCCTTATCCATACAATGAAGGCAAGCAAACCAACTTTTAGAGTCACCATGAAGAATAAATCAGATTAGATATGTTAAGGACCAAGCACAATGCTTGGAACAGGGCTGTCATTTACAATGTACAGGTTGTGCCCTGCACAATCACCAAAGGGTACCATTTGCATCGTAGGACAAATTGTAAGCACTCTTCCGTGGCATACTCATACTTTTCATCCTCATTGAACACCATCTCTCAAGGTGTCCACTTTGAGAGTGTAAAATCAAGATGATCTGCCATTACCTTCTCAAACACATTCTGGTGATAGCAGTGATGAGAAATATAGGACACGGAAGACTTCTGAGTCAATGGCATGTGTCGTTCCCTCCATCTAAAGTGTGGTTCTTGCCTCATACAGTCAGACTTTTTATGCCTTTTTGGGAAGTGTTCCCTGATGCTTTACATGTTTGTTTGTTTGTTTGTTTTTTATCCCAAGCTAGATTACCTCCCTCTCTCCCAGGTTCCCATGACCCTCTGCATTGACCTCATAGGCTCACTCTCGCAGAGTACATGCCACATTGTATCATAAGTGTTACTTTTTATGATTCTATCACAGTACTGAGAACTCTTTGAACTTCTGACTTATCCTTGTATGTTTAGTTCCTAGTTCAATGTCTGGCACAGTTATTGCTCAGCATGTGCTTGTTAAATGAATCAACACACAGACTATCATATGTGAATACATTGCAATATGATCTTGAGAAAGTTACTAAACCCTTCTGAACTTCAGCTTCCTCATTTATAAAATGGGAGAAAATACATACCTAGAAGATATATTGAGCTATATAGAACACTTGGGCCAAGGTATTCACTCAATAAGTTGAGCAATATTTCATTATTATTATACTATTTTATGATCATATTCAGATATAATTAAATGTACCAAAAGTATGCCATTACAGAAAAAAATTTAAACAGTTGTTAAAAAAAAAAACCCCATCCCATTGAGCCCCTTAATTCTTGGGGTTTCTGGCTCTACAAGGTGCCATTTGCCCTTTTCTCACAACGGGGATCCATTCCCCTTTGCCCTTTTTGTGAGTTCATACATTTATTCTGTCTGACACTCACAAATCCATTATGTTTAATGAATATCCCTTCTGACATCGTGAGGCTAGAGTGCCTAATCATTTTGTTTTTAACAGTGACTTTGTGTACTCTATATTTCTAAAATTTAGCAGAGCTGATCATCATTTTAATATTCCTGAAATCCACATAGTAGCAGTTAAATTTGTACCAACACTTTTGAGCAATGATCATATAAAATATGCAGGACTAGGCACTAAAGGGAGATACAAACATGAACATGGTCCTGCCTCTCCGCTTGAAGTTCAAGGTCTCAGATCAAAAGTCTCTTAGTTAATATGCTGAGAAGAGCCACTCACAGTGATATTCTCTATGGCCATGAATCAGATCTCTTGAGTTAAAAAAACGTTACTTGGGCAGCTCGGACTACATGGTTTGAAAATAGATCTGAATAAGACATGCTCTGCTCTTGTGAATCAGGTAATTTAGTGATGAAAAGAGAGTGGAGAATATAAACATACTATTTTAGTATATTAGGCTAAATGTTTTGGCTGAAGTAAGCACACAGCGTGTTGGTGGTAATAAGGTAAGAAGTAGTCAGACTAGAGATTAAGGAAAGCCTTAAAAAAGTGACGAAAGGAGGCTTCTTGAAAAGCCTACTAATGTAGGTTATCACATTTTGATCCTTGTGAGGATCAAAAGAAAAATTTAACTCAATAGTTGGCATAGAGTAAGTATTCATATTAGATAATTGTGTTATAAAGTAACATTTATAAGCATCATTATAATTATTGAGTAATAATATGAGTGAAAATAGTCAAGAAAAGGGTACTCCAGGCAGAGGGAAATGGGAGGAAAGGCAAGGTATAAGGTTACTATAAATGGTTGTGTTGAAGGAAAATCCAGGTAATGATTGACGAAAATCGAGTATGGATAGGCTAGAAATGGGCAGGAGAGTCAGGCCAGAAAACCTAGATTTTTGTCCTGCAGGAGGAATGTTCTCATAGTGTTAAGGAAACAAGTGACTCAGTCAGATTTATTTTTAGAAAACCTGTTCAGCCACCATGTAGAAGACTGATTTGAGAAGTTCAAGACAAAAGACAGGAACACTAGTTTAGAGGTCTGTTACAATGGTACAGCTGAGAAATGAGGAAGGCCTGGACTTTGCACAGGGGTAGAAAAGAAAGAAGAGAATAAGCCATCGTGGAGACTATGAGTAGATGATACAGGCTATTTATTTAATGACGTATGTGTTGAAAATAAAAGGGAGACAGAAGAATGAATGAGAGCATCAGGGTTTCTGTCTGGCTGTGTGATAGCAATGAAAGAGGAATGAGTTCAGTTTGGCCACACTGTCTTTCTAGTGCCAGGTGAACAGTTTCAGCAGGCATTTTCATATATGAATTGGAAGCTGAGATAGAACATCACTGTTGGAAATAGCAATTTGAGAGTCTTCTGCATATAGAGAGAATAACCTTAAAAGTAGATAAGACTGTGTGAGACATGCCTCTAGAGAAGGAAAAGAGGGCTAAGTAGAGGTTTGGACCATATATGGGAGAGGAAAGACTTTCAGCAGAAAAGTGGCAGGACAGGGTAGTTTTTAGAAGCCTACAGATGATAGCTGGCTATATCAGTTATCAAACAACAGTGTGTATAATAAACAACTGAGGATCTTGTACAAGATTCCCTGGCCCCACCCTAAGAAAATCTGATTGATTATGATGAAGCCTAGGAAACTGCATTTCCCAGCAAGCACCCAGGTGATCTGACACAGATGGTTCATGAATCCCACTCTGGGAAACACAGACCATATTACTGTTGGAGTGGGAGAAGACTGAACACAGGGTATGTGTTCATCAAAGTGCTATGCTTAATGAACTAGATGTGAGCCTCCTCCAGATTTGCTTGGCAGGTAACCAACCGAAGAAAATTCTTGTTATCAATTTTCACTTATTTCCTAGACCAAAAATATCACCCAAACCTGTGTCAAAACCTCACACACCCAGAGCAGAGTTTGCAGACACAAATGAAAGTCAGGCTGGGGAAAATGAAGGAAATCCAATGCAATATATTTGTATTCTGTCACTGAGGCACTGTCTAATGTTGCTGTAACTATGATGTATAGGTCTATCATAGCATGTGTTACCATGGTCTGAATTTCCCAACTGGGGAAAAATGATTAATGTAGAGATTTGCATTCGATGTGGTCTTGGACATCAATATTTCAGCTTAGGTAAACAGGAGCTTTACCTAATTTATTGGCTCTCATTATGTATGGCTTGTAGAAGCCAAATTCCCCCTCTGCCACGAAAATGACCTTTCATGCTCTACCAATCAATCTAGAAGAAGTGAAGCAAGTTGGTTAATATTTTAGGAAGGAAAAAAATGACTTCACATGTCAGGGACTTAATTGTTGTGATTTTGACCCATTTTGAAATTAGTTAACATTTGCTTCAGGCCTCTGACTTCATACATTATTTATTTTCATCTTGGCATTGCTTAAGTCTCTTCATGTGCAATATGCTTATAACGTGTGAGAATCTTTTTCTAAATATTGCACTTAAGTAATAGCATTATGAGTCTGAAAATTTAAAGCCCAAAGTGTGTTCCCCACACACATACATGCACGTGGATATTATTTCAGGCCACACTGCTTTGGGGTACATTTTAGCTCTCCTTGGCAAAGTTTCTAGATGTTACAGCCAGCATTACAGAGCAATTTCCTTGTAAGAGTTTTATGTTGCAAAGTGTGTCAGAAGTTAATCAAAGGGTAACAGTGCAAAAGTCTGTGAATATGGCTTCCTGGAGACTCTGGCCAGCCCATGCTGTCAGTCACTGTCAAAACTGTAGCACACAGGGGCGTATGGAACCTTTTTCTCTCCTGTGAGAAAATGTTTCTGACCACAGAGGTCACTGCCTTTATGGCATAAATCTATTAGCCTATTGTTGTGGTGTGAATCCCAAGGAGAAGGCGTCTCGTCAGCTGTCTGGCTCAGATGCATGGTCTCTGCAGCTTCTTGCAATAAAGGGTCAAGCCCTGCACCTTGCTTCTGACTGTCAGCATCAGCGTGGGGCTTTCCTATCATAACCTCTGCATCTTGGTGAGTAATCACTTATGCCTGGCCTTGAAAATGACTATCCCATTACTTGTTCTGTGTAATCATGGGAGAGGAGTGCTTTTGGAATCATTACACAGGTTACACCTTCCAACCAGCCTGGGCATCCTCACGGCTTGGATGGAGAAAGGCAATCTGTGAGACTGTTCCATCATGCCAGTGCCATATGAGGATAGTGATTTAGAAGCTGGAAGAAAGGCTTAGAAACTCTTATGTATTACTGACATGGGTACCACCTTCTAATCAACTATTTTTTTTTTATTCTTGACACCCATTTGAAGTTGAACAAAAACCAGTGTATAGATGAGACCCGACAGCTGTTTCCTAGATGTATAGAAATAACCATTGCAGCTGTCTAAAACTAGGGCATTTGCATTTGCATCAGTTTGGATTATATCTTTCATTAATTTGAGTCATAATTTATGTACAAAGCTCATAGAACAAAGAATATGCATGTCCAATGCAGCCTTTTAAAAAAAATCTTTAAGCACAAACATAGAAATTCCAGGGATTCTGTTCACCTGGTAAAATGCAGACTCGTTGAAGGTGATTTTCACTGTACAGACGTTAACTAAAAATCTACTACATTCACAGCAGTTTTTCTGTCTGCTAAAAATCTACTCATCTTTCCAATTTTATTGTCACCTTCTCCATGAAGCTGTCTTCAGTTCCTGAAGTTAGAATTAATTGATATCTTCCCTCAGGAATTTGGAACCAAATTCATGGAGGCTGGAATTTGATGCTCTCATTTCCTGGTAATGCTCATTGAAGTAAATGCTGAACAAATGCTAATAGTATCCCAATGCCAATAAGAAGCAAGGAAGGGAGGAGAACATGCAGGCAGGCACATTTATATTAATCAAAAGTAGGTAGTTTTGAAACAAACATTTATATAATATTTTATAATTCAGAAACACTTTCTTTTTTTCTTTTTTTTTTTTTTTTTTTTGGAGACAGAGTCTCGCTCAGCCACCCAGACTGGAGGGCAATGGCATGATCTCAGCTCACTGCAACTACTGTCTCTTGAGTTCAAATGATTCTCCCATCTCAGCCTCCTGAGTAGTTGGGATTACAGGCACCCGCCATCATGCCTGGCTAAATTTTGTATTTTAGTAGAGATAGGGTTTCACCATGTTGGCCAGGCTAGTCTTGAACTCCTGACCTCAGGTGATCTGATGGCCTCAGCCTCCCAAAGTGCTAGGATCACAGGTGTGACCCATTGCACCTGGCCTCCTATTAAATATAATTTCCAGTTTTACATAATTTCTTTGCTCATGCATATGAAATGGGCTATCAGAAGCAGCCAGGTCAAAAATTGAATGCTTTGCTGCTTGGACATTTCTTCTACCAGATACCCCAAATCAGCAGTCCCCAACCTTTTTGGCACCAGGGACTGGTTTTGTGGATGACAATTTTTCCACATACTGGGGGTGGGTGGGTTGGCTTCAGGGTGATTCAAGTACATTACATTTATTGTGCACTTTATTTCCATTATTATTACATTGTAAGACACAGTGAAAGAATTATACAGCTCACCATAATGTAGAATCAATGGGAGCACTGAACTTGTTTTCCTGCAGCTAGATAGTCCCATCCATGGGCAATAGGAGACAGTGACAGATCATCAGACGTTAGATTCTCATAAGGAGCAGACAACCTAGATCCCTCACAGGTGCAGTTCACAATAGGGTTCACGCTCCTATGAGAATTGAATGCCACTGCTGATCTGACAGGAGGCCTAGCTCAGGCAGTAATGTGAGCAATGGGGAGTGGCTGTAAATACAGATAAAGCTTCACTTGCTTGCCTGCTTGCCTCTCTTAACAGGCCATGGACTGATAATTGTCTGTGGCTCAGGGGCTGGGGACTCCTGCTCTAAATTATCACTCTCAAGTTCAAAGTTTCACAGATCTGTAGGGCAGGGGCATAATCCAAACAAGCTTTTTGCCAAATGTGACCTTTGCTCCATTGCCAATAAGTTCCTCATCTCCATCTGAGACCTCCTCATCCTGGCCTTCACTGACTATTAGCATTTTGATTACAACCATTCAACAAATCTCTAGAAGTTCCAAATTTTCTCTTATCTTCCTGTCACCTTCTGAGCCCTCCACACTCTTCCAACCTCTGCCCATTACCCAATTCCAAAGGTGCTTCCACATTTTCAGGTATCTTTATAGCAATACACAACTCCTGGTACCAATTTTCTGTATTTGTTTTTTCTCACACTGCTATAAAGTAATAGGAGGTTTAAGAAAGGAGGTTTAATTGGCTCACCGTTCTGTGGGCTGTACAGGAATCATGGCAGCATCAGCTTCAGGGAAGGCTCAGGAAACTTAGTGACAGAAGGCAAAGGAGGAGCCATCACTTCATCTTGTCTGAGCAGGAGGAAGAGGGAGAGCCGGGAGGTGCCACACACTTTTAAACAACCAGATCTCAGGAGCACTTACTATCGCAATGACAGCACCAGGGGTGGTGTTAAACCATGAGAAACCAGCCCCATGATCCAAACACCTCCCACCAAGCCCCACCTTCAGCATTGAGGTTGACATTTCAACATGAGATTTAGGTGGGAACACAGATCCAAACCATATCAGATGAATAATTAAAATGATATCTTTAAGTCTGCTTTTTGATTACATGTAAATGTGAATTGGGACCTGGAAAAGAAATTTGATGATTAATTTAATAAATTCAAGACTCACCATCAAATACACTGATTAGTGATCAACATTTTTAGTTAGGATTATTATGTTAGGGTATTGAGAAAAAGCCAACCTAGGTGGATCATAACTAAAATAATGTCCTTTGCAAATCTGAGAATCCCCTTTCTCTTTCTAGTGGAAGTTTCTATGCCAGTTTTTTTCACATGATCCTAATGAAGATTGATTTCTAATAGTACTGTTGTATATATTTTATAACTAGCAAAGCATAAAATGTCTTCTTTGAACTGTTAAATAAAACACGGAAAAGCATTTATACTGAAGACAGAAATGTAATGTTAGGGCTGTGTGTATTTGAATAAAAATGTTTACCCTGATAATTAAAACACATATAAAAGAAGATTTTTTAGTCTGACCTTTATGAATGTGAATTTGTATCTTAATGTCTGACATTCTTGGGATATTAAAATGAAACAATCATTATACTAAATCATAATAGTTAAAATAATTTGGAGGTATAGAGCTCTAAAATCTTAGAGGAATTACAGGCTTTTGGTGAAATTTAGTTATACTCTTAATTATTTTATAAATAGAAAAGCATTTAAATCATAATTAATTTATATAAAGAAAACCTACCTTATTACAATTTTTGAAATATATAAATTTTAATGCACTCAAATATTTTCAGTATTCTTTCATGCTATGGAACTTGCTCATGCCCAAGTATCTGATTACAGATTTAGGATTAGACTCATTGCTTCCATGCCAGCGTGAATTTCAGTTGCTTATTAACATGTGGGTTATAACTTTGAAGAAGTCAGATCGTGGAAGATCGTACACATGTTGCACTTGCTATCTCACAGGCATTCTGTAATTAGACTGGATTCATTTGCCAGACCCCTCCCTGAGCTAATGAGCTAAGGTACAGCTGTGTCTCTTTTTATTAAGAAAATTGAAGTTAGAGATTAAACGACTCTAAAATGACTCTTGCTTCATTTTGCCAAGTCATTTCTGAAGGCTAGACTGAACGTGGGTCTGAACTCTGTAGGGGATTTTGAGTCACTTGATAAGAACATGATTTTCTCTTATTGCCTTTTTGTTATTTTCCCAAAATATGAAGTGAGATTCTATTATTTGTACTGAAAAAAGTACCGCATGCTTTATATTACACATCTTTCTATTTTTCGTCCTACTTATTATGCTCCTGTATTTCCCCTTTTCCAGATAAGTCGACATTTTCACTGGACCGATTGGACTGAAAAGGCAAGATTGAATGAGGTAAGCCATTTGGGGGCTGCTGTGAACACACACATATTCAGCAATCCTGTGGTGAACAGAAATTTAACCAAGCTGGCTTTCTAGTTTGGTCTGGTTGCACCTTGTTTGGTCAGATTCTTGCAAAGGTCTGAGTTAAATACAGCAAACATGCAGGTGGGTAAAGCAATTATTATTTTGATCCTTTGGCCTCAAATTAGTGAAGTGTGGTATGCCTATATGTACAGAAAATATATGGACAATTATTTTGTATTGGTTGGGATGCTGTTGAGTAATGGTAAGATTGTGAGAAAAGATAGCTAGACTGGAATTATCACTCAGGAATTTGTCTGCTGGCTTGAGAGGGAACTTAAGGGGCTGTGATATATTAAGACTCTTCCTACTCATTTTGGGGGACAGGTGTGTTGTGGCATTCTTTTCAGCAAGCTGAATAGAAACAGTCTAGACACAACACATGCTTTGAAACTGATTCTGCATCAGGGGAAGTGAGAATGGATTGGTCAGGGCCAGAATAATGTGTTGCTCCAGTGAGTGTTGACTTCTCTGGTGCAATCCGAATTCTCAGAAGAGCCTTTAGGTACTGGCTTCTCAGTCTTATTGTTTCTGGTTCTGAAATTGCTTTCCTAGTGTAAACTAAATGACTTTTCTTTGAAGCAAGAAAATATGAAAGTAAAGTCTTAAAATTATGTATGCCTGTTGATTTACTTATTCAATTTGGAGTCGTCATTTAAGGAAAAATTAAAAACTAATTTTAAAATTTATCTGCAATATTTTTACTGTGGAATTATTTAAAATAATGAAACCTTGGGGAGAAAGCCCACGACCTAATAATTTGGAGTTTGTTAAATAAATAATGGCATAACCACAAGGTGGAATATTATGCATCTGTTAAAAGTTATAATAGTGAAAAATGTTTAATCTCAATAGAAAATATAGAGGCAAGATATCAAGTAAGAATGCAGCATTCAGAATTATCTATATTGGGGCATGGCTTTGATTTATACCTAGACATTAGATGGGGAGAAAATACAATTTGTTCTCAGAGTTCTATTCTGTAAGATACTTTTTCTCAGACAACAATGCCAATTCCATAGGAATGTGGTACACATTTTATAAGTTGATGTGTACAAATTAATAAGCACATGTTATATCCAATAAACACTCATGCTGCTCATTTCTTATCCTTCTTTATTGAACGTGATTTTCTCAAGAAAACATTACTTCCCATCCAGTCCTCCAAAGGCAAGCCCATCTCATACTGGATTCACATCCACCTGCCCATGCTTTTTGCTACCTAGAAAACCTTTCCAATACCTTTCTTCCACTTTCATGCCAAAACTTCTTTAGGGGTCTCTTGTTTCCACTTTATGCCTTGCATTCCTTTTCCTTAATTCTGTTATTCTTACATAACCAAATTAACTCCTCTGCATTCATAGCCGACTTTAGCTTTGGTGAATTGTTATTTTCTCTGTACCAACTCTTACCCGGTTGAGATGGGTGGAAAGGGTGAAGAGTAAGACACAAAACTGTCCAAGCTTAGGAATAAGGTCCTCTATTAAGAAGAAAACATCCTGTAACAGACAAGAGGAGCCAAAGAAAGGTAGGTTTTTCCTAAGTGGCTCCAGTGCAGTCTCTGGGCCTTGGAGGTCTGAGAGTTCCTCATGATGGCAACTCCCACCTCTTGTCTACTACCTAACCTTTCACATCTCCAGTGACTTAGAACCTCAGCAACAAAACTAACAGTCTCTTCTGCCAGCCTCTACTCTGCTTCATGTTCTTTCTTATTCGTGCTGGCTTTAATGACTTATATTCTAACCCTATTTTCTCTCTACCGCTTCCATCTGACTTAACCCTATATTTCCTTATAATTTACTCAAATGCTATTCCTTAGAATAAGCTCTAAAAATTTTCAGTTGCATTTTCAGATTCCCTTACTATAATGTTAGGCCTGACTGTAATCCTTCTTCCTCTGAAATTTGTCCTCAGTCTCTTTGTACTAGAGACTGAGGATGAAAGATGAAAACTTAGTAGCTTAAAAATCAGGATATCACAGCTCTACCTCTCTCCAGAAGTAACTGAACAACTTAAACAATGTTGAACATATAATAATAATAATAATAATAATAATAATAATAATAATAATGTTCCAATGTCCATCTGTCCGTGGAGGTTAAATGGTTTTATATAGAGAATATCATGGTGCTGTCCAGTGGAATTTCATCATCAAACTAAGCTCATTCCTGCCAAAGGGATTTTATAACCCTTCCCATTACTGAAAAATGTTGACTCCATAGGGTGAACCAAACAACATGGTGGGAGGTGTCTGTAATCCCAGCTACTCGGGAGGCTGAGGCAGGAGAATCACTTGAACCTGAGAGGCGGTGGTTGCAGTGAGTCAAGATGGTGCCACTACACTTCAGCCTGGACAACACAGTGAGACGACATGTCAAAAAAATATTACAATGATTTCCTAATAGCTAAGGATTAGGTTAGCAGTCTACAAACATAGAGCAACATGTGAGTTTATGAATAAGGTCTTTCAGTAGGGAGGATACATCCTGGGGTAGACAAGATGGGTATGGGAGAAAAAAATTTATTTCCCCACCCTATAACAAAAGACAGAGCAACAAAAGAAAAGCATAACAAATGTATTTAATGAAAATGTTATATGACATGGGAGTCTTCAGAAATGAAGACAAAGTTCCCAGGGAAAACTGCAAATTTTTACCGACAGTCATGCAGAAGTATGATTGGAGGACAAAAGCTTATGATCTAATGGCAATAACCTGAGGGGAGCTTAGCAAGGGCTATTTGTTCAGTTTCTTCTTGGCATCACTGCATGGCATTGCTTCCCTCTGGATACAGGACAGGACACCTATCATATGCCAATCTTCAGGGGAAGAAACCAGGAGAAGTCAGAGAGACCTTGATGCTTCCGCTATTTTCTTAATTTTGGAGTATCTCATTCTGAGCCCAACATGGGCAAAAGAAAAGAGAGGTTATAAAGGAATGGAATGTCACTTCTGGACAGAGCAGATTTATTCTCAGCCACAGATGGCTCAGGATTATGGCTAAATTCTTTAATGAGAAGAAACTCTAATTCAGGATCAAAGTCTACTGGATAGGCTTCAAAGTAACCTCATGTTTTACTTACAGGCTATTTGAGAAAGCCAACATTCTTCATGTGAAGACAAGCGAATGAAAACGATATATACAAAATATGCCATGAAAGTGATAACACTTTCTGCCATTTATTCATCACTGTCAGGCAGTGCATTGAGCACATGCATGGATTCTCTCTTTTAATTCTATAAGAACCTCTGCAGCAGACACTGTTATTCCCATTTTTTTTTTCATATGGGAAAGCCTGAGGCTAAGAGGGCTGAATTAGCTTGCCAAAAGCCCCTAAACTGGTAGCAAATTGCTTTTGGATTTGAGTGCAGTGCTATTTAACTGTATAGATGAGCTTTTAATCAGAAGGTTATATTGTCTTACACATGGACTAGCTGTGAACCATGGAGACATGATTTACTTGGGATAGTTAGGGAGGGTGAGGAGGCATTAGAAGGCCTCACAGAAGTGGAAAGTATAAAGGCCCTTAAGAAGTTGCAGGGAGCAGTAGCACAAACTGTCCCCCCAGTTCCTTCTCCCTCATAATCTCTACGTGCACTTCCACCCGGTCGCTTCCAACCCTCAATATTTGTTCCAAGGAGCCCATACACATCTCTACCACCCTCTCATTGAGTAGCATTTTTATATATTTTGTTATATAGTAAGAATTTCTCCCCTGAAGACTCCCAACACTCCTCCCCTTAAGAAAAACAGTTATGCCTTGTTTGCTGCTTGAAATGTATGAAATGTGATTGTGTTTACTTGTTGGGATTGAAACCAATCACATACAAAAATACCTTTATAGGGGAAAAAGATGTTGGCTCTGTCTTGCATTCAAATAGCCAGTCTTTTCTGACTCACATTGAACAACCTTGAACAAATCACACTCTCTCTGGTTTCTTTTTTCTGCTTCTGCTTACAGCAGCAGGGAGAAAGGCCACACAAAGTATGGTGCTATCACCCAAATATTAAAGCTTTTTACACTCTTTGCTTCTGTTCATTCTTTCTTTCCTTTTGATCTAACAAAACTTCTTAAATTATAAATTATGCAGGTGGAAGGGTTTTTTTTTTCTCTAAGATAAGAGGAAAATGTATGACTTCAAAATAAATGTTAGTGGAATAGTGCAGCAGACCACATCAATATTTTTATTTGGCATGTGGCATGGGATACCTTGAGGAAGATGCCACACTTTAGATAATTTTCAAAAATTTTTTTTAATGTAGTGAAACAAAATGACTTATCCAAACTGCTTTCAATAGCCGTAAGAATTAATAATCAGTTCCTTTACGAAATCCAACTCTCAGTTTTGCCTCTTGAAGTTTTCCAATAGATCAACAGGTAAATAATTAGTTTTAGACTTTAAAACAAATGCAAAGAAAATTAGTATCAAATCAGTCAGGGTGTATGTAATACATGGGAGAAGGTAAAGATGGAATTTTTTTTATTATTATACTTTAAGTTCAGGGTACATGTGCAGAACATGCAGGTTTGTTACATAGGTATACACATGCCATGGTGGCTGGCTGCACCCATCAACTCATGATCTACGTTAGGTATTTCTCCTAATGCTGTCCCTCCCCTAGCCCCCCACCCCAGGCAGGCCCCAGTGTGTGATATTCCCCTCCCTGCATCCATGTGTTCTCATTGTTCAACTCCCACTTATGAGTGAGAACATGCAGTGTTTGGTTTTCTGTTCTTGTGTTAGTTTGCTGAGAATGATGGTTTCCAGCTGCATCCATGTCCCTGCAAAGGACATGAACTCATCCTTTTCTGTGGCTACATAGTATTCCATGGTGTATATATGCCACATTTTCTTTATCCAGTCTATCATTGATGGGCATTTGAGTTGGTTCCAAGTCTTTGCTATTGTGAACAGTGTCACAATAAACATATATGTGCATGTGTCTTCATAGCAGAATAATTTATAATCCTTTGGGTATATACCCAATAATGGGATTGCTGGGTCAAATAGTATTTCTAGCTCTAGATTCTTGAGGAATCACCGCACTGTATTCCAAAATGGAAGTAATTTACATTCCCACCAATAGTGTAAAAGTGTTCCTATTTCTCCACATCCTCTCCAGCAACTGTTGTTTCCTGATTTTTTAATGATTGCCATTCTGTCTGGTGTGAGATGGTATCTCATTGTGGTTTTGATTTGCATTTCTCTAATGACTAGTGATGATGAGCTTTTCTTTATATGTCTGTTGGCTACACAAATGTCTTCTTTTGAGAAGTGTCTGTTCATATCCTTCACCCACTTTTTGATGGGTTTTTTTTTTTCTTGTAAATTTGTTTAAGTTCTTTGTAGACTCTGGATATTAGCCCTTTGTCAGATGGATGGATTGCAAAAATTTTCTCCCATTCTGTAGGTTGCCTTTTCACTCTGATGGTAGTTTCTTTTGCTGTGCAGAAGCTCTTTAGTTTAATTAGATCCCATTTGTCAATTTTGGCTTTTGTTGCCATTGCTTTTGGTGTTTTAGACATGAAGTCCTTGCCCATGCCTATGTCCTGAATGGTATTGCCTAGGTTTTCTTCTAGGGTTTTTATGGTTTTAGGTCTTACATTTAAGTCTTTAATCCATCTTGGGTTAATTTTTGTATACGGTGTAAGGAAGGGGTCCAGTTTCAGTTTTCTGCATATGGCTAGCCAGTTTTCCCAACACCATTTATTAAATAGGGAATCTTTTCCCCATTGGTTGTTTTTGTCAGGTTTGTCAAAGATCAGATGGTTGTAGATGTGTGGTGTTATTTCTGAGGCCCTTGTTCTCTTCCGCTGGCTTATATATCTGTTTTGCTACCAGTACCATGCTGTTTTGGTTACTGTAGCCTTGTAGTATAGTTTGAAGTCAGGAAGCGTGATGCCTTCAGCTTTGTTCTTTTTGCTTAGAGTTGTCTTGGCTATGCGGACTCTTTTTTGGTTCCATATAAAATTTAAAGTAATTTTTTCTAATTGTGAGAAGAAAGTCAATGGCAGCTTGATGGGGATAGCACTGAATCTATAAGTTACTTTGGGCAGTATGGCCATTTTCATTATATTGATTCTTCCTATTCATGAGGATGGAATGTTTTTCTATTTGTTTGTGTCCTCTCTTATTTCTTTGAGCATTGGTTTGTAGTTCTCCTTGAAGAGGTCCTTCACATCCCTTATAAGTTTTATGCCTAGGTATTTTATTTTCTTTGTAGCATTTGTGAATGAGTGTTCACTCATGATCTGGCTCTCTGTCTATTATTGATGTATAGGAATGCTTGTGATTTTTGCACATTGATGTTTTGTCCTGAGACTTTGCTGAAGTTAGTTATTGGCTTAAGGAGCTTTTGGGCTGAGACAATGGAATTTTCTAAATATATAATCATGTCATCTGCAAACAGAGACAATTTTACTTTCTCTCTTCCTATCTGAATACCCTTTATTTCCTTCTCTTGCCTGATTGCCCTGGCCAGAACTTCCAATACTATGTTGAATAGGAGTGGTGAGAGAGGGTATCCTTGTCTTGTGCCAGTTTTCAAATGGAATGCTTCCAGTTTTGCCCATTCAGTATGAGATTGGCTGTGGGTTTGTCATAAATAGCTCTTATTATTTTGAGATATGTTCCATCAATACCTAGTTTACTGAGAGTTTTTAGCATGAAGGGGTGTTGAATTTTATCAAAGGCCTTTTCTGCATCTATGGAGATAATCATGTGGTTTTTGTCATTGGTTCTGTTTATGTGATGGATTACATTTATTGATTTGCGTATGTTGAACCAGCCTTGCATCCCAGGGATGAAGCCGACTTGATCACGGTGGATAAGCTTTTTGATGTGCTGCTGGATTCAGTTTGCCAGTATTTTATTGAGGATTTTTGCATTGATGTTCATCAGGGATATTGGCCTGAAATTTTCCTTTTTTTTTGTTTTGTCTCTGCCAGGTTTTGGTATCAGGATGATTCTGGCCTCATAAAATGAGTTAGGGAGGAGTCCCTCTTTTTCTATTGTTTGGAATAGTTTCAGAAGGAATGGTACCAGCTCCTCTTTGTACCTCTGGTAGAATTTGGCTGTGAATCCGTCCAGTCCTGGACTTTTTTTGGTCGATAGGCTATTAATTACTGCCTCAATTTCAGATCTTGTTATTGGTCTATTCAGGGATTTGACTTCTTCCTGGTTTAGACTTGGGAGGGTGTATGTGTCCAGGAATTTATCCATTTCTTCTAGATTTTCCAGTTTATTTGTGTAGAGGTGTTTATAGTGTTCTCTGATGGTAGTTTGTGTTTCTGTGAGATCAGTTGTGATATCCCCTTTATCATTTTTTATTGCATCTATTTGATTTTTCTCAGTTTTCTTCTTTACTAGTCTGGCGAGTGGTCTTTTCAAAAAACCAGCTCCTGGCTTCATTGATTTTTTTGAAGGGATTTTCGTGTCTCAATCTCCTTCAGTTCTTCTCTGATCTTAGTTAAGTCTCGTCTTCTGCTAGCTTTTGAATTTGTTTGCTCTTGCTTCTCTAGTTCTTTTAATTGTGATGTTAGAGTGTCAATTTTAGAACTTTCCTGCTTTGTCTTGTGGGCACTTAGTGCTATAAATTTCCCTCTAAACACTGCTTTAGCTGTTTCCCAGAGATTCTGTTACATTGTGTCTTTGTTCTCATTGGTTTCAAAGAACTTATTTATTTCTGCCTTCATTTCATTATTCACTCAGTAGTCATTCAGGAGCAGGTTGTTCTGTTTCCTTGTAGTTGTGCCATTTTGAGCGAGTTTCTTAATCCTGAGTTCTAATTTGATTGCACTGTGGTCTGAGAGACTGTTTGTTATGATTTCTGTTCCTTTGCATTTGTTGAGGAGTGTTTTACTTCCAATTATGTGGTCGATTTTAGAAAAAGTGCAATGTGGTGCTGAAAAGAATGTGTCTTCTGTTGATTTGGGGTGGAGAGTTCTGTAGATGACTGTTAGGTCTGCTTGGTCCAGAGCTGAGTTCAAGTCCTGAATATCCTTGTTGATTTTCTCTCTCATTGATCTGTCTAATATTGACAGTGGGGTGTTAAAGTCTCCCACTATTATTATGTGGGAGTCAAAGTCTCTTTGTAGGTCTCTAAGAATTTGCTTTATGAATCTGGGTGCTCCTGTATTGGGTGCATATATATTTAGGATAGTTAGCTCTTCTTGTTGCAGTGATCCCTTTACCATTATGTAATGCCTTTCTTTGTCTCTTTTGATCTTTGTTCTTGTAAAGTCTGTTTTATCAGAGACTAGGATTGCAACCCCTGCTTTTTTTGCTTTCCATTTTCTTGATAAATCTTCCTCTATCCCTTTATTTTGAGCCTATGTGTGTCTTTGCACATGTGATGGGTCTCCTGAACACAGCACACCAATGGATCTTGACTCTTTATCCAATTTGCCAGTTTATGTCTTTTAATTGGGGCATTTAGCCTATTTACTTTTAAGGCTGATATTGTTAAGTGTGAATTTGATCCTGTCATCATGTTGCTAGCTGGTTATTTTGACCATTAGTTGATGTAGTTTCTTCATAGTGTCAATGGTTTTTATAATTTGGTGTATTTTCGCACTGGCTGGTACTAGTTGTTCCTTTCCATGTTTAGTGCTTTCTTCAGGAGCTCTTGTAAGGCAGGTCTGGTAGTGACAAAATCTCTCAGCATTTACTTGTCTGTAAAGGATTTTATTTCTCCTTCACTTATGAAGTTTAGTTTGGCTGGATATTCAATTCTGGGTTGAAAATTCTTGTCTTTAAGAATATTGAATAGTGGCCCCCACTCTGTTTTGGCTTGTAGGGTTTCTGCAGAGAGATCCGCTGTTAGTCTGATGGGCTTCCCTTTGTGGGTAACTCTAGTTAGCAATTCCTCTAACCTTTTTTCAAGGTTCTTAGCTTCCTTGCATTGGGTTAGAACAGGCTCCTTTAGCTCAGAGGAGTTCATTGTTACCCACCTTCTGAAGCCTATTTCTGTCAATTCATCAAACTCATTCTCCATCCAGTTTTGTTCCCTTGCTGGTGAGGAGTTGTAATCCTTTGGAAAAGAAGAGGCATTCTGCCTTTTGGAATTTTCAGCCTTTTTGTGCTGGTTTCTCCCCATCTTTGTGGGTTTACCTACCTTTGAACTTTGATGTTGGTAACCTTCGGATGGGGTTTCTGCATGGACATCTTTTTTGTTAATGTTGATGTTCCTCCTTTCTGTTAGTTAGTTTTCCTCCTAAGAGTAAGGCAACTCTGCTGCAGGTCCATCAGAGTTTGCTGGAGGTCCACTCCAGACCCTGTCTTCCTGGGTGTCGCCAGCAGAGGCTGCAGAACAGCAAAGATTGTTGCCTGTTCCTTCCTCTGGATGCTTTGTCCCAGAGGAGCACCCACCAGATACCAGCCAGAGCTCTCCTGTATGAGGTGTCTGTCAACCCCTGCTGGGAGGTGTCTCTCCTTTCAGGAAGCACGGGGGTCAGGGACCCACTTGAGGAGGGAGTCTGTCCCTTAGCAGAGTTTGAGTGCTGTGCTGGGAGAACCGCTGCTCTCTTCAGAGCCAGCAGGCAGGAATGCTTAAGTCCGCTGAAGCTGCACCCACAGCTGCCCCTTCCCCTAGGTGCTCTGTCCCAGGGAGATGAGTGTTTTATCTATAATCCCCTGACTGGGGCTGCCACCTTTTTTCCAGAGATGCCCTGCCCAGAGAGGAGGAATCGAGAGAGGCAGTCTGGCTACATTGGCTTTGCTGAGCTGTGGAGGGCCCCGCCCAGTTGGAACTTCCCCTGCGGCTTTGTTTACACTGTGAGGGGAAAACTGCCTACTCAAGCCTCAGTAATGGTGGACGCCCCTACCCCTACCAATCTGGAGCGTCCTAGGCCGACTTGAGACTGCTACGCTGGCAGAGAGAATTTCAAGCCAGTGGATAGTAGCTTGCTGGTCTTTGTGGGGGTGGGATCTGCTGAGCTTGACCACTTTGCTCCCTGGCTTCAGCCTCCTTTCCAGGGAAATGAATGGTTCTGTCTTGCTGGTGTTCCAGGCACCACTGGGGTATGAAAAACAAAAACAAAAACAAACAAACAAAAACTCCTGCAGCTAGCTTGCTGTCTGCCCAAATGGCTGCCCAGTTTTGTGCCTGAAACCCAGGGCCCTGGTGGCATAGGCACCCAAGGGAATCTTCTGGTCTGTGGGTTGTGAAGATTGTGGGAAAAGCATAGTATCTGGGCTGGAGTGCACCGTTCCTCAAGGCACAGTCCCTCACAGCTTCCCTTGTCTAAGGGAGGGAGTAACCCTACCTCTTTCATTTCCTGGGTGAAGCGATGCCCCACCCTGCTTTGGCTCATCCTCCATGGGCTGCACCCACTGTCTGACCAGTCTCAGTGAGATGAGCTATGTACCTCAGTTGGAAATGCAGAAATCACCTGCCTTCTGCATTTATCTCGCTGGATGCTGCAGACCAGAGCTGTTCCTATTTGGCCATCTTATGGTTTTGTAGGTCAGATTCGAGATAGGTCTCACTGGACTAAAGACAAGGTGTCAGCAGGACTGCATTCCTTTCTGGAAACTCCATGGAAGGATTTTCTGTGCTTTTCTCAGCTTCTAGGGACTGCCTGCACTTCTTGGCTCATGACTTCTTCCTTCAAAGCTGGCCATTGCAGGTCACACTGCCGTCTCCCTGACTTGCCTCCCTTGTCACATTCACCTCTCTGACTGATAGAATTCTTTTCTAGAATAGCATTTTCTGAAATACACCTGGCTAGTGATTTTGAAAAACTTTACGTGTTTTTAAATTTAGTGACATGTAAGTGTACACCTTCCTTCAGGAAACCTTCCCTGGCTGTCTTGCCTCCTCAGCCTAGGTGGCCATCTTCTGTTCTCTCCTGCCCTGCTATGCTGTGCCTCATTGGAAATATGAGTAATGATGGGGACTCTTGTCCAGGATATTTTCCTTCAATTCAGTAATATGAAAAGTTTAAAGGCAAATTCCAACCTATAAATAAAATGACAAATTTGAAAACAAGACCCCCAGTATTTATTCCCCTCTTTCAACCAAGAAACAGTGCTAAAATCTCATAAGAACAAGTTGGACCAAAATTTGTTTATGTTTGAACAAGTTGGAAATATACTGAGAGCAGGATTTTTTTCTTACTATGTCATTTCTGAATTAGAACAAAGAAAATAATGCACACTTGGAGTTAACAAATGCACTTTTCATGGGGAAAAAAAACAAAACACAGATAACAACAAAATCCCTTAGATGGTCTTTCCATGCTGATCTTAAGCATTCCAGTTTGATGCTATGCTTTATTTTAAGCTGTAAAAATATTGTTGTGAAATCTGCATTCCTGAAGAAACAGCTGATCTATGGTGCACAAACCTCATCAACAATCAGGACAAGACGTGACAGTAATGATGATGCTTCTTTATATTGGTATGGCACTTTAGAGTTTACATACATTTTCAAATACCATATCTGAGTTAATCCTCATCAAAATCCTATATGGTGGAAAGGCTATGTTGTTATCTTATCCCCCATCTTCCAGATGGCAGAACAAATGCTGAGAGCTTTCTCTGGGATCACAAATGTGTGAATATCAGCTAGCTACAGCACTTAATAGCAAAGATAAAAGAGTAAGCCATTACTCTTCCATCTCAGGCTGGACCCTGCCAATCTCAGTTATTCAGTCCAACATCATTTCTTGATACAGATAGTCAAAATTTGCATTTGACTTATATAATTTAAGACAACAGCTGCAATTTCTATAATTCTACAGATATTTATTGAGCACCATTTTTGAGGTAGGGTACTCACTCACATTTTACTTTATAAATATTTAAAGCTTAAAAATAAGTATTATTCATTGAATTTTAATATAATTTCAAGCATTGGGAGAAAAGTTTTCATTTAGCCTTATAAAACTCTACAGAGCCAGCATTATTATTTTCATTTTCTGCAGTTTGCCCAAGGTAACAAAGGTAGAAAGTATCAGAGCCAGAATTTGAAACCAGTTCTCTCCAACTCCAAAGGCCATTTCATGACATTGCTCTGCCTCCCTGAAGATGAAGCAGGGAAGTCTTTTATTAACAAGACAGTTTTGGGGAACTTGAGTATGTCTTTAAGGCAAAATGTGCTTGAAAATAAAACGCAGTTTCCAAGTAGTAGTCATGATCAGTTCACTATTGAAAGCAAGCTTGAAGAAATGCTGCAAACCAAACAGTGTCTTCTGACAAAAAAGCAGTCTGCAGACATGTGGTTGTGGTTCCACTTCTCACCCAGCAAACTGTCAGGCTAACCTGATTTTTTTTCTCCTTAGATTTTGTTTCTTTGAAATTGATGTCAAATTCATTCATGGTAAAAAAAAAAATTTTGTTGTTCCATTGTATGAAGTCCCATGGTTGTGTACCTGTTCAAATGAATATGAAATGGAAGGGCTTGCTTTGTGGCATCCTTGTATATTTATATAAATTGTTTCTAACTCAAGATGGGTTAATTGTTTCCAAGGTCGTTATAATGGCAGAGTTCCTGCATCCTAAACATAGAATATGACAATGAAAAGAGTATGGGGCTTCAGGATCCAGTTGTGCTTTCTCTTTTAAGCTCTATGACCTTACAGAAGTTATTTCTTCACTCTGAACCTTGTTTACTTTTTATTTTTTTATGTTGTTACAAAGATCAAATGAGATCTAAGGTACCATAAATACGAAATCGTATTATCATTATCATCATCGTTATCATTAACAAAACAATAGTGGGAAAAATCCTTTGATAAAAGAAAAAAAATTCTCAAAAAGTTTTTATGAACATTCAGATCAATTTATCCACCAGAAAAAAATAGAAACAACGCTTACCCAAATGAATAAATCTGTAAAAGATTTCCATACAATCATATCTTTGTTTTCTCCCTTCTCCCTGTTCCGTATTACCTAAGGGTCACCTCTGAATTCCTCCATTCCTTTGCTTTCTAATCCTTTCACTCTAGCAGAGGAGGAAAGGTCAAAAGGATCAGTGTTTTGTGCTTGTTGCTGTTGGATAGGGTTCCCTGTGTGGTGGAATAGGGAATGACAGATGAGGGAAGCTAGAATTTAACATGCAATTGACGAAGCCCCTCAGGATACTCAGAGATAAGAAAGAAGAATATGAAGCAAATACACTGTGGCCAAGTAACTTAAAGGTCAGGGGATGGGAGAATGTAGAGGAAAGATCACAGCACTGCAAGTGTGGCTGTAGCCCTCTTTCACTGCTATGAGAATAAGAGCTTTTTAACCTCCATGGTTCTCATTTAAACAGAGAACATCTCTTTGTCTCAAAGGATGAAATAAGTATTATATGAATTAACACATACAAAATTGTTTTAAACCCAATAAAATTCTATGCAAATGTTCTTAGTGGCATCTCTATTCCCTTTACCTTAACCTTTTTTCAAATACAGCTTGCTAAAGCACAGACTGCTCAGAATGGTTTGTCTGTACTAGAGGCTCAGTACTTCTCAGGTATTGTTCACAGTGCTTTGCAAGAATTAACTAACTGACTTTTTAGCGCACTCTTCTTGCAGGTCCTTAACTTGCTATTCCACACTCTGTTAAGTATGTATTTTTTTCCACCCTAAAAACTCAGGTTCAATAATATATATACATTTTTATTTATCCATGCATTTGTCTTTTCTATATAAAGATGCATATTGAAAGTGTATTCTAGGCTAGGTAAGATGCTGACTTCTGCAGACAAAGGAACTAGTCATTGGCAGTAGCAGCAATTACATTACATGTATCATGTCTAACATGATATACATATATCACGGATAACTTTACATGATAACATTATTATACATATGAAACCATTTTTGCATTGCCCATTTTTAAATTTCTTTCTTTTATGAACAATTCATGTATAAAATTAGGATGACCTATCTACTTCATGGAAGTTTTGAGGATTGTTTGAGATAATGTGAGAAGTCCTTTCAACAGTTCATGACAGGAATAACTGCAAAATAAGTGGAAGTGATTATGGTACAGAGGAAGTGAAAATAATTTTAGTACACTGAAGCACAGTCTTTAAGTCAGACCTCCCTCCAAAACCTTTTATAACCTTATAACATCTGAAAATATCATGAAATGATACTATTGTCATTTATGGTCTTCATACCGTCATCATCCTCACTACCCTCACTAGATAATCTCTGTATTCTGTGAGGGATCTGAGGAGCAAGAAGAAGATTTAGCTTATTCAAGTTTACTTGGCAGCTAAGTGGCAGCCATAGGCTATAACTCCACATTTTTAAATTTCCAATTCTATTTGTTTTCCTCTTTCATAAAGCGTTGTCTGATAACTACATCCCACAGAGTTGTACCTCCCTTCTCTGGACGCTTCTCACCTTCTTAATATGATATTAAGCGGTGGCTGTATTACATACTTTTATTAAATTCATATGAGTTTGTAGTCACTCTTTTGGCATATTAGTCTTACCTCCCTGACTTAGTCCATTCAGGCGGCCATAACAAAATGCTTCAGACTGGGCAATTTCTAAGCAACAGAAATTTATTGCTCACAATTCTAGAGAGTGAGAAGGGCACAATTAAGGTGCCATCAGTTTTGATGTCTGATGAGGGTTAGCTCTCTGCCTCATGGATGGTGTCTTCTAGCTGTGTTCTTCTATGAAGAAAGGACAAAAAGTGTTAAACTGGTTCCCTAAGGCCTCTTTATAAGGGCACTAATCTCATTCACAAAGGCTCTGCCCTCATGACCTAGTCATCTTCCAAAGGCTTCACCTATTAATAGGAGATTAGATTTCAACATATGGATTTTGGAGGAACACTTACATTTAGATCATAGCCTTCTACCCGTGGCCTCCAAATTTATGCTCTTTTTACATGCAAAATACATTCATTCCATCCTAATAATCCCCAGCCTTAACACATTTCAGCATCGACTTTAGTCTAAGTTCAAAGTCTCATCTAAATGTCATCTAAGTCAGATACGGGTAAGACTCAAGGTATGGTTTATCTGGAAGCAAATTTCTTTCCAGCTGTGAGCCTATGAAATCAAACAAGTTATATGCTTCCAAACGATAATAGTAGGACAGGCATAGGATAGACATTTTCATTCCAAAAGGGAGCAATAGGAAGGAGGAAAGCAGCAACAGTAAGTCCAAAACCCAACAGTGCATACAACATTAAATCTGAAAGCTTAAGAATGATCTTTTTTGGTTTAATATATTCTACTTTCCAGGCACATTGGAGTGGTCCCTGGGCATCCAGGGCTGTGGGTAGTCCCATTGCTGAGTGCAGCCCACATGGCAGTTCTCATAGGTTGGAGTTATGTGCCCATGGCTCTCCCATAATAGAATCACTGTCTAGTGGCTCTGCTGGCCTGGGGTCTCAGGGGCAGCCCTGCCCCTATGGTTCCACTGGGAACTGACCTATTGGGACCTCTGTGTGATTCTACCTTTCTGTCAGTTCTCTTCGTGGGCCATTTGCATGAGGCTTCAGGCAGCTCCATCCTTTGAAATCTAGGTGAAGGCAGTGACCACCCCGGAACTATATGTACTTGCATAGTGAGCTCCACAGACACTGCCAAGATTTACAACCTATGTCCTCCAGAGCATTGGTCTGAGTTGCACCTGAGCCCACTTCAGCCACAGTTGGGGCAGACAAAGAGTGCAGCCATGGATTTCAGAGAGCAGAGAGTTGAGATTGTTCTACCCCAAGGCCCTGGTATTCCGGGCCATTGACAGACAGGGCAGTCATGAAGATCTCTGAAATAATCTGCAGTCATTCTCCCACTGTCCTGATAAATACCCTCTGGCTTTCTTCTATCCATACTAATCTCTTTATCAAATGATTGTTTGGCCACACCCTCGATGTTCTCCCCTGAACCTGTTTTCTCCTTCTTCACAGAATGAGAATTTTTCAAATCGTTAAGCTCTGCTTTCCTTTCAATTATAAATTCTATTTTTAGTTCATTTCTCTCTTCTTGCATTTTATTGTAAGCAGACAAGAGAAGCCATGCCATAGCCTCGACACTTTGCTTGTATATATCTTCCAGCAAATATAGTATTTCACCATTCAAAATTTCTACCTTCACAAAGCACTAGGACATGGATACAATTCAGCCAAGTTATTTGCCACTTTATAACAAGGCTCACCTTTCCTCCACATGTTTCCCATTTCCATCTGAGATGGCATCAGAATGACCTTTACCATGTGCATTTCTACCAACATTCTGTTCATACCCTCTTAAGTAATCCCTAAGAAGACTGAAACTTTCTCTATGGCTCTCCTCTTCTAAGCTCTCACCAAAATTGCCTTTAATATTTTATTCACAGCAATGTAGGTTTTTCTAGCATATACCTCCAAATTATTTGAGCCTTTACCCATTATCCAGTTTCAAAGCTGCTTCTACATTTTTAGTTTATTATACCAGCACCCTGGTTCTAAGTACCAATTTCTGTTTTAGTCCATCTGAGTTGCTATAATAAAACACCTTAGACTAGGTAATTTATAAATAAAAAAAAAATTTATCGCTCACTGTTTTGGAGTCTGGAAAGCCCATTATCCAGGTGTCAGCAGTTTGATGTCTGATGAGGGCTAGCTCTGTGCCTCATAGGTGTCACCTTATAGCTGTGTCCTTCTATGGTGGAAGGGTAAAAAGAAGAAAACAAGCTCCTTCAGTCCTCTTTTCTACAGGCACTGATTTCATTCATGAGGACTCTGCCCTAAGGACCTAGGCGCCTTCCAAAGGCCTCACCTCTTCATATCAACACATCAGGGATTAGATTTCAACAGATGAATTCTGGAGGAACACAAGCATTTAGACTGGTTATGTGTTTCTTCCCTCCAAAACTATGTTGACATTTGTTTGCCTTTTTGGTGGTTTTTGTAGGTGAGAGCTTTGGTAAGGTGAAAGAGACATGAGGGCACTACCCTCATGGACTAGGAAAGGACACATTTAGTCCCCTTTGCCGCTTTGCCCTTCTGCGTGTATTATAATAACTTGGAAGATTTTAACACAGATTGCTGGATCCCACCTCCAAAATTTCTAATTCAGTAGATCTGAGAAAGAGCCCAGAAATCAGCATTTCTTTCTTTCTTTCTTTTCTTTCTTCTTTTTTTTTTTTTTTTTGTCTTTTTTGAGACAGAGTCTTGCTCTGTCGCTCAGGCTGGAGTGCCGTGGTGCGATCTCAGCTCACAGCAACCTCTGCCTCCTGGGTTCAAGTGATTCTCCTGCCTCAGCCTCCTGAGTAGCTGGGATTACAGGCACGCATCACCATGCCTGGCTAATTTGTGTATTTTTAGTAGAGACAGGGTTTTACCATGTTGTCAGGCTGTTCTTGAACTCCTGACCGCATGATCCACCCACCTCAGCCTCCCAAAGTGCTGGGATTACAGGCATAAGCCACCGTGCCCAGCCCCGGAATCAGCATTTCTAACAAGATCCTAGGGGTTGGTGATACCAGTGAATAAAAATGTTTGAGAACCATTGTTACTGACTGTCACTTCACAGTGCATTTGTAAAATATAATGTATACTTTCTAACTCAAATTTCATAAATTAATAAGAATCCAGGGAGACTTATTTAAACTTTTTTAAAGTATTAGACTCTGAAATGCTACAATAGTTACTAGATTCTACATTTGCTTGTTCATTGTTGAAAACTGTTCCATTAGTGATGCTAATGATGACAGACTTAGATGTGCAGTCAGAAATGAGTCTTGCCTGCAGTTCCCAATTTAAATTCTATGCCATCTAATGACCAAGGGCAAAGACTGATTGTTTCAGTTCTGTGAACTTCACTACTTGCTAGTGAACATCAATATTTTCATTAGTATCTGAAAACTAGGATCATAATGTTGTTCTGAATAGTTTCGTGAGCATTAAAAGAAATGATTTGTGGAAGCATGACCTGTTAACATGTGGCTGGTGCTCAGGAAATATCCAAACCAATGAGAATCCATTCAATGCTGACATCTCTGCAGATTAAAGATCCAAGTTCTTTTTAATTCCTCTATCTGTTCCACTCCTCCTTATTAGCGTGAATTTGAAAATTTTAAATGTAATTTGTAAAGCTCGAGGTTCCAGCTGCCTTAATTCTGAAGAATCTGCCTGTGCAAGGATTTTGAATAATGCAGAAAGTGGAAGACAGCAAGCTCCAAGAAACTTAAGGTACTATAGAATATTTCCAAGATATTACCCGTCTTTCCTAGACTTTTCTTCCTTGTCTTTGATATTTAGATAAATTAAAAAACATAAATATTTCTCTTTAGTTATGTTTAAGTTCCAAAATTGAACAATTTTCCTCATTAGAATGAACCATTTTATGTAATAATTTAAAAATTGTTTATAATAAAATACCCAGATTAGTGAAATAATAGTGTGATGGTTACAAGGTAATAGCTAATGCTGTTCAAATATAAATACACCAATGATAATGCCATTTTTTGAATATTTGAACAGCACGTTCCACATCCAAAATATCTTCTCATGTTTCATGCAGATTAATCATTTTAAAACATAGTGGAGGCCAGGCGCAGTGGCTCACGCCTGTAATCCCAGCACTTTGGGAGGCCGAGGCAGGCAGATCATGAGGTCAGGAGATCGAGACCACCCTGGCTAACACGGTGAAACCCCATCTCTACTAAAAGCACAAAAAATTAGCTGGGCATGGTGGCGGGCGCCTGTAGTCCCAGCTACTTGGGAGGCTAAGGCAGGAGAATTGCTTGAACCTGGGAGGCGGAGGTTGCAGTGAGCCGAGATCGCGCCATAGTGGAATAGTGGAGACTGACATCATCAGCAAGACATTAGAGGGCTGGATTTTCCAGCACTTGTCCTCCTACAGAAACATCAATTTGAACAACTATTCACACACAAAAGTACCTACAGAAGAGTTATGAAAGCCATGTGAGAAATCCTAGTAGCTGATGGTAGCAATACATTACCCACCTCAACCCTCACCCAATCCTAGGCTGCACAGCATGGATACAGATACCCTCTGCTTGAGGGAAGGAGAGGGAAGTGAATACCAGACTTTGCCTTTGTTCACAGTACCAAGACTGCGCCAGTAAAATCCAGCACTGGGCAGGTCCCCAAGGCCTGAGACTGCAGGCTGGTACTCACGGACTAAGCCTCCAGGCCTGCCCTGGTACCCATATAGCCCCAGACTTTTGGCCCACCCCAGCACTAGGTCAGCACCCCTGGGTTCAGGCAGGAAGCCAGCACCCATGGTCACAGGCTTCACTTCTTCCCAGTATCAGACCAATCCATGTGGCCCCACTCTCCAGGCCAGCCCCTGTGGTTTCACGTTCCAGGCCTGCTCCAGCAGACTGAGTGTTTGGGCTTATCCCAGTAGTCCCTGGTGTGAGGCCAGCTCTCATGACCAAGGTTCCAAGTTTACTCCTACAGACCTGGTACCAAAGCCTACCCACACAGACTCAGACCATAGCTCCACCCCAGCACCTAGGTCCCACTAGGTGTTGAGACCTCAGAACAGTCCCTCCAGATAAAGGCTACAGGGTTGCCCTCACTCATCCGGGCTCTATTCACACCCTTGTGGACCTAATTAATAGGTTTACCCTAATGGATCCAGGCTTCAAATGCAACCCTCTGGACACAAGTTCCAGGCCCACCTACCTGCTGACTCAGGCAACAGCCCCGTCTGCCCAAGGAATCTAGCAGCAAGCTCTCTGATGATCTATACCAGATGGCCTATCCAGAATTTCTGGACAGGCTGACCGATGAGGGATTTCTCAGACAAGGCCAGTCTGTAAAGAATGGAGTAATGCCAGGTGCAGTGGCTCATGCCTGTAATCCCAGTACTTTGGGAAGCCAAGACCGGAGGATCACTTGAGGTCAGGAGTTTGAGACTAGCCTGGCCAATATGGCAAAACCCCATCTCTACGAAAAATACAAAAAATTAGCCAGGTTTGGTGGCATGTGCCTGTAGTCCCACCTACTTGGGGGGTTGAGACAGGAGAATGTCTTGACCCCGAGAGGCAGAGGTTGCAGTGAGCTGAGATCGTGCCATTGCACTCCAGCCTGGGTGACAGAGTGAGACTCCATCTCAAAAAAAAAAAAAAGAGACAACAACAAAAAAGAAGAGTGGAATAAGTAACTCCTTCTTCAAAGGTGCAGACATCAACGTAAGGCAATAAGAAATATGAAAAACCAAAAAAATATAAAACTGCCCAAATATCACAGTAATCTTCCATTAGCTGATCTTAAAGAAATACAGTAGTCCCTTCTTATTTACAGTTTCATTATTTACAGTTTCAGTTACTCACAGTCAACTTTGGTTTGAAAGTATTAATTGTAACATTTCAGAAATAAACAATTCCTCAGTTTTAAATTGTGTGCCATTCTGAGTAAGGTAATGAAATCTTTTGGTATTTTACTCCTACCTTCCCAGTACATGAATCATCCTTTTGTCCAGTGTATCTGTGCTGTATACACTACCTGCCCATTAGTCACTTAGCAGTTGTCTCAAATATCAGATTGATTGTCATGGTACTGCAGTGCTTATGTTCAGGTAATCTTTATTTTCCTTAATAATGGCTTCAAAGTACAAGAGTAGTCATGCTAGCAATTTGGATATGCCAAAGAGAAGCTGTAAAGTGCTTTCTTTAAGTGAAAAGGTTGAAGTTCTTGACTTAGTAAAGAAAGAAAAAAAATCATATGCTGAGGGTATTAAGGTCTGTGGTATGAACAAATATTCTGTGAAATTGTAAACAGTATGTTGTTATAATTATTCTATTCCATTATTATTATTTTTCGTTGTTTTTTTTAACTTTGCCAAATTTATAAATTTAACTTTATCAGAGTTATGTATGTATAGGAAAAAACGGTGTATATAGGGTTTGATACTATCCATGGTTTCAAATATTCACTCGATATCTTGGAATATATCCCCTATGAATAAGGGAAGACTGCTGTAGAGGTACACACAAAAAAGAATTCAAAATACTTGTTTTAAGGAAGTTCAGCAAACTTCAAGAAAATATAGGGAAATAATTCCATGAAATCAAAAAAACAATGAATGACCAAAATTCAAAATTTAACAGATTAAAACTATTTTTAAAAAATCAAACTCTGGAGCTGAAAAATACAATGAATAAAATAAAAAATTCAATAGATAACATCAACAGGGAATTGATCAAGCAGAAAAAAAATTTGTGAATTCAGACAGATTATTTGAAAATATACAGTCAGAGGAGAAAAAAATTACAAAAAGAAATAATGGAAAAGCTAATGAAATTTATGAGATAGCATCAAAAGACGAAATGTTAGAGTTACAAAAGTTCAAGAAAGGTAAGAGAGATTCAGAGGGAGTAGAAAGCTTATTTTAAAAAGAGCAGAAAAGTTTTCAAATCCAGGAAAAGATATACATAGCCAGCTAGAGGAAGGTCAAAACCCCCCTATTGATTCATTCTAAAGAAAACTACACCAAGACATATAATCAAATGGTCAAAAAAAAAAAAAAAAAAAACAAAGATAAAGATAGGATTCTGAAAGCAGCAAGAAGAAAAAAAGCAAATCACATATGTGGGAATTTATATAATGGTGGCAGTAGATTTATCAGCAGAAATCTTACAAGCTAGAAGAAATTGGGATAATATATTCAAAGTGGTGAGGAAAAAAAAATCTGCCAACTAGTAATACTTTACCCAGAAAATCTGTTCTTCAGAAATCAGAGATAGGGTCTTTCTCCAACAAAATTGAGAGAGTTCATTATCACTAGACCTGCCTTTTAAGGAATGCTGAAGGGAGGTCTTTAAGCTGAAAGAACAGAATACTAATGAGTCACATAAATACATCTTAAAGTATAAAACTTACTGGTAAAAGTAAATGCACAGTCAAATCCAGAGTGCTCTAATATTACAATTGTGGTGCATAAATTACTTACATCTTTAGACACATAGACCAATGGAATATACACGAGAGCCCAGAAATAAACCCATTCATTTACTGTCACTGATTTCTGACAAAGATGTGAAGAATATACAATGAGGAAAGGGCATTCTCTTTTAAAAGCGGTGTTGAGAAACCTGAGTATTGACACACAGAAGGATAATATTAGATCCTTATCTCACACCACATATAAAAGTATACTCAAATTAATTAAAAATACAAATGTAAGATCAACAGCTGTAAAACTACTGGAAAAAATGTAAAAGCTTCATGACATTGGTGTAAGCACTGATTTTTGGATACAACACCAAAAGCACTAGCAACAAAAGTGATAATCGACAAATGGAATTACATTAAACTGAAAAGTTACACAGCAAAAGGAACTGTCTATAGAATGAAGATACAACCTACAGAATAGGAGAAAGTATTTGCAAATCATACATCTGGTAAGGGGCTAATATCTAAAATATATAATAAATTCAACCAAATAGCAAGAAGACTAATAACATGATTAAAAATGGGCAAAACATCTGAATAGACATTTCTCCAAAGAAGACATACAAATGACCAATATGTATATTAAAATACTCAATATCAGTAATCATCAGAGAAATGCAAATTAAAACCACAATGAGATATCACCCCATACCTGTTAGAATGGCTACTATCAAAAAGAAGAAAGATAACAAGTGTTAGTGAACATGTGGAAAAAAGGAAACAGTTGTACACTGTTGGTGGGAATGTAAATTAGTATATTTTTTCACACAACTTTTTTGTAAATGTACATTTGTGTAAATTTTTTATAAATTAGCCATTATGTAAAACAGTATAGAGTTTCCTTAAAAAATTAAAAGTAGAACTATTATATGATCTAGTAATCCCACTACTGGGTATATATTCGAAGGAAATGAAATCAGTATGCCGAAGACATCTCTGAACTCCCGTGTTCACTGCAGCATTCTTCACAATAGCAAAGACATAGAATCAACCTAATTGTACATCAACAGATCACTAGATAAAGAAAATGTGGTATATATGCTCAGTGTGATACTATTCAGACTTTAAAAAAAGAAATCTTGTCATTTGTGACAACATGGATGAACCTGGAGGAAATGATGTTAACTGAAATAAGCCAGACACAGACAAATCCTGCATAATCTCACTTATGTGTGGAATCAAAAAGTTTAATTTACAGAGGCACAAATGTCAAAGGATACAAAATTTCAATTAAACAGGAAGAATAACTTCAAGAAATTTTTTGTGCAATGGGGTAACTATAGCTCATAACAGTGTATTCTGAAAATCACTGCGACTGATTTTGTGTTCTCAATACAAAAATATGTGAGGTAATGCATATGTTAATTAGCTTGATTTAGAATTCAACAGTGTATACATATTTCAAAATATGTCATCCATGCTAAATATATACAATTTTTATTTGTCAGGGTTTTTTTTTTAAAAAAGCATAAGCAAAGCTTGTATTATTTTAACCATTTTACAAAAGAGGAAACCTAGGTTCCAAAACACAAAAAACATTAAATGCATAAGGCTGGGCTTACGTTGTTCAACAAGGCTTTTGTCATTTTTGTTAAAAATACAATCATGTAAATAGTGACAATATTTTAATTCTACAAATCTTCTTTCTTTTTCTTTTTTTTTTTTTTGAGACGGAGTCTCGCTCTGTTGCCTAGGCTGGAGTGCAGTGGCCTAAACTTGGCTCACTGCAAGCTATGCCTCCTGGGTTCATGTCATTCTCTTGCCTTAGCCTCCCGAGTAGCTGGGACTACAGGCACCCACCACCACACCCGGCTAATTTTTTTGTATTTTTAGTAGAGATGGGGTTTCACCGTGTTAGCCAGGATGGTCTCGTTATCTGCCCGCCTCAGCCTCCCAAAGTGCTGGGATTACAGGCGTGAGCCACCACACCCAGCCTCTACTGTCTTCTTTATCCCGCATATGTAATGCAGAATCAACTCAAAACAAGTACAACTCATCAAAAAAATATTATACAGCAGTTGTACACAGAAACCACCGTGTTTCCTGCTTTAAAACAGCAAGTGTTACTGTGAGTCTTCCGTGAACCTTAAAGACTTAGAATACAAAACTAATAGTTGCTCAGTGGCTGTTCTGTGCCAACTACCACATGCATAGGCTGTTTTGTTTAATCCTCATATGAGATTACCACGTGTCATCCTGATTTTACAGGTGAGAAAATTCAGGTATAGAGGAGAAGTACCATTCCCAAGCAGACCCAGGGATAAAGAGAAACAGAGTTTAGATAGGAAATTTGAGTTATGTGACTTGAAAAATAGTGTACTCTTTTCTCTGAAGCCTTCTGCCTCCTAAGGGGAAAATACATGATTTGTCAGGTTGACATTCCTTCCTTCCGTGCCCCTTCCCTTTATGTGCTAAGAAGACCTTGCCAATCCCAGATGCACTGTGGAACCTGTAATATTTTTGCCATAAAAGAAAGCAGGCCTCCCTGTACCCTTCCTTTTCTCATGAAACAAATAGCATATTGTTTCAAATATATACAAGCCCAAGGGGATTATGTATAATAAGGAAATACAGAAATAACTGAATATAAAAAGAAAATCAGACAGATTAGGGGTAGAGGCCAGAATGCCTATAGATGTATTCAATTCAAACTAGTTAAATTTCTATGCCTTCTAAAAAGGTGGATGAGGAACTGGAGTTGTGAATTATTAAATCTAGGAAGGGCTGTCCTAAGGAAAAAGCTATCACTTTTAAGGGTAATTGATTCACTGATCCCTAAAGGAGGAGCATTCTTGATTTTACATTGTCCAGAGACCTTTGAGCCAGTCTGCAAACCAATACTTGGATAGCATGAAGAAAAACTAGATGGGAATTGATAAATGAACTGACCCCTGGAAATATTGTATAGCCATTATCTGAGACCACTAAAACTTCAACTAAGCAGGAAGACAGCCAGAGCTTCTCCACTTTGTACATTAATTACCAAGCCTTTTCAGTATTCCTTGGGATTACATTTTATTTTGACTTGGAAGTGTGGAATGGTGAGAAAGGCATAGCTTCAGTGTCAGACATAGGAAGATTCAAATCTTTTACTGCTACTTACCAGCCAGAAGCCAACATTTAGACCCACATTTATATGGCTCCAATGTCCATGATCTTTTCTTTGAATCATGCTGCCTCCAATAACAGACAATTTTTAGCAACCTGTTGTGATGTCTGATATCCCACCATTGGAAAAAAATGATAGTTAAGGAAAGAAAAACTAGTATTTATTGAATGCCTACATGCCCAGCACTCTGCTAGGTACTTTCATATGTAGTATCTCATATAATTGATATAATAATTCTGGTTGAAAGGAATTAACATTATGTAGTTAATGAGTTGCCACTGAAATTTGGTTTTTGGGAGGCTTGATTTCGAAGACTTAAGTTTGTTCTACCATAATGTGCAGACTTAGGATGAATCATCCTTTCAATTAGAATAATTTAAAAAAACCCACACATACAATTTGTAGAAAAACTACTTATACCAATAAATCCATGAATTTTCCCTGGTGATATCTGTAAGCTCTTTGAAGGTAGAGAGAGTTCTTTGTTACATCCTGCAATGCATCTGTTATGCTGTGAATGCACAAGAAATATCTAACAGTAACAATCATTTAGAATTTCCTGGCCTCTGGTGTCTGTCTGAGCAATACTTGTTTGTAATTATGATAGTTTACAGTTAAAAGGTCATGAATCTTGCTTTTAAAAATTATATATATATATATGTGTATATAATCTCAGGGAGTTGAAAATGATGAATTGGACTAGATGGCTTCAGTTTTGCTGCTTTCCCTTAGTTGCTTTAATTTATCTCAAGCAATGAAACTTAAAAAAGAAATTTAAACAGGTTTTCAGCAAAAGTGTGAATCAGTGTTAGCAGTGCTTACCAATTTTCTACACCCCTCCTTGTAAATCTTACAGTCCCTCTCCTCTTTTTGTCAAAAATTATTATCTGTCCCAATGCATAGATGAGAAAGTCCAGGAGGGGTATTGAGGGATATGGTGCAAAATATTTAACTACACAATGTGCAGTGGGATACTGACTAGAAACCTTGAAGAGAGATAGAAAAGGGCAAGGGCTCCCGAACCAGACACATCATCTGAATCACAGCCCCCACACTTAGGCATTGTGAGAGGAGGCTTACGCTTCTCTTTCCCATGGCTGACCCACGCTTTTGGATTTACCAACTTGGCTTTCTTTGGCATTTTTCTCCAAGATGGGACTTTTAGTTTAAATCCTCAACTACCCACACAAGAACCTCCCAGTGGCACCTCTGACCATCCTGTCCTTTCTTCCCACTTCCTTTTTCTGCATCTTCGTATTTGAGCTTCCTTCCTATTCATAATCTTTCAGAATACAGAGGAGATAGGGATGTACCTGGGGCTGGAGACCAAACTTTTGGCTTCCTCATCTAATTAGTTGGTTCATCTCTCTAACTGTGCCAATTATGTTCTTTCTTTCCTTCCTTTCCTTTTCTTCCTCTCTTCTTCCTTCCCCTCCCTTCTCCTCGTCCTCCTGTCTTCTCTCCTTCCTTCTTTCCTTCCTTCCTTCCCTTTTCTTTTCTCGTTTTCTTTTCTTTCTCTTTCTTTCTTTCTTTCTCTTTTCATGCATAAATGAGAAAATTGTACAGAAAATCTAGAGAAATAAGACAGGATTTATGGTGTCAAGAATAACTAGCCCGTCTATTGGGTACAAATGAGTAAAACAGGATGTAAAACCTGAGATGACAGTGGACTTGCAGTGTTTTCTCTTTTTCAGTTTTGGACATGACAGAATTATGTAGGTTTTATATCACTGTAAAAGACAACAAAATCCTTGGCATATGCATCATATATTGGATAGTTTAACATGCTGTGCTGTGTATGTACCTGTGCCTGCCCCGCTACTACGTCAAAATATGTTAGATGAAGCAAAAGGGCTATTAACTTGGGAGAGGGTGGAGTTAAAAGGGAGGCATATGATTTGCCCTAGATGATGATAAACCACATATTTTGGATGAAAGTAATGTGCAAAATTCAAAAGTTGGAAACACATCATTCAAAAGAGCAGATGTAGAGATCAATTAGTTATAAATTCCTTTTTTCTGAAATCTTTCTGATAGAATACATGGATTTCCTCATAGAAAATAAAAAATGTTATCACACATCTATGGAGAGTGAGAGAAGGAATATGAATGAGGAGGATGCCTAAATGAGAAGATTTGGAAAAAAAAAAAAAAGGTAATAGGGCCCTCTAGGAAGTAGTTGTGTGGGGGATTGAGGAGTTAATCTAAAGGTTACATTTTGGAGAAAAATGCTGAAGAAAACCAAGTTAATTAGTCTGAAATCGTGTGTCAGTAGTGGGAAAGAGAAGCATAGGCCTTTTGTCCCAAGACATAAGTGTGGGAGCTGTGATGCAGATGATCCATCTGGTTCTGGGGCCTGTCCCTTTACCCACCCTTCTTCAAGGGTTTCTAGTACATCTGTGCATAAGCTTGATACTGGGAAGCCAATCAATTGATATCTGTTGAAGGAAAAGAAAGAAAGGAAGAGAAGGAGGGGTGGAGAACAGAGACAAAGAGCAGAATCAAAGAGCCAATAGGAAATATCTTCCAGGAAGAATCTGTTACATACATCTTCTATTCCATGGACTACTATGCAACTATAAACATATTGCTGAATATGCATTATGCTTTAGCATGAAAAGATATTCATGATGTGATAAATGAAAACAAGTTAAGGACAGCATTCTAATACCATATTGATTGTTTTTATAAAAATATGTGTAAAAGTGGACATAAAGATAGGAACTAAATAGACTATGGGGACTACTAGAGGGAAGAATGAGAGAGGGAGAGGAACAAGGGTTAAAAACTACCTATTGGGAACTATGTTCACTACCTGTGTGACAGGATCAATTGTACCTCAAGCCTCAGCATCACACAGTATACCCATGTAACAAATTTGCATATGTACCTCCTGAATCTAAAATAAAATTTGGTTTAGTTATATACCCTGATGATGATGATGATGATAATAATAATAATGAAGTGAAAATATCTGAGAGCAAATGAGAGTGTTTCTAGGATATGTCTGGGCCACCTTTTTTCTAGGCACCGGTAGTATCTTTATGGGGGTTGGATGGGCTTACTCAAAGTGACCTGGAGGGAATGCCCACTGTGGTTATTTGGCATTCAGATGTCCTTCCCTTTCTCCAGTTGGAGCATGCATTCTGTCTAATTGCTTCCACATCATCTTAGCCAAGGTGGCGCAGAAGGGGAAAGGGGAGGAATGTTGGAAAAACAAAACAAAACAAAAACAGGTATGCAAAAGGGGGCCTGACTGGTCCCTACTCAAGCCAGCTGCTTAGAAATACAAACCCCATGTAAATATTCTTTTCCACCTTACTGAAACAATCATTTTCAAGAGGACTGATTTTAGCACTATCTCAATGAATAGGAAATTCCTGTATTTCAGATAATCTGGCTACTATGTGAAATACACATGAAACACAGTAAATTTTAGTGAATAAATGGGTGAGTAAGTAAGTGGATGGATGAATGAATAAATGAATGAATTGCAATTTACAATCAAAGTTCTAGGTTGCCATTTGACTACTTATAGTCTATAGCGTTTTAGCATCTACCATCTTCCAAACTTAGTTGCTTCAGCAACAATAATAATATATCACTCTCAAAATTATATAACATATAAAGTGTTCTTTAGGAACCTCGAGCACAATAAAGCCTTTTACTTACTTGTCTAAAACTTGTAACTTTATATTTTCCTAAAATTATTTTCCCTGAATGTATTATTTCCCGTAACAAGATTCTAAATTCCTTAAGAGTCTGTTGATAATCTGATTGAAAATTCTCTCTCTCTGTCTCTGTGGGTGTGGGTGTGGGTGTGTGTATATGTGCATGTGTATTAAATTAACTTGCTCTATAATTGGTTTCCAGTAAATGTTTTATTTATTTATCAAGCACTTACGTAGTACTTACTGTGTATGCAACACAATTGTCAGCTCTCTCTAAAAGTAACTCGTTTTATCTCGTCACAACCCTATGAGGAAGGTATCACTATTATTCTCTTACTACAGATGACAAAACTGGGGCACAGAGAGGTTAAGTAACTTGCCCAAGGCCACTCAGGTAATAAATGAAGAAGCTAGGATTCTGACTCAGGCCCATAACCCCAAAGTATATCAGTCAAATTGAGTGTTATCATTGGTATGTCACCAGAATGGGCCAAAAGAAAAAAAGACTTCTTTGAGTAAATAAGATAATATACAAAATTTATTGAGCAACTGCTATATTTTAGGCACTATTCTAGGTGATTCATATCCATTGATCTGGTTTAATCCTTTGCGGTAAATATCAACCATCTTCATTATGCTTCCTCTCCCACTTACACAGGGAATGGTAATGTAAACACTCAGGGGAGACTCTATCTCCATAATATAGTGTCATTACAGAATATTTTAAAGTCATAATTAGATTTTGGATGGTAGCTAAAAAGGCCCTTATTTTATCCAGACTGGTTTAATTTATTTCTATCGGGGTGGGTACCAATAGGGGAACTAGAGATAGAAGACGCAAATCACATTTATAGATTTTAAATGTAGATACTCGTTAATGCTGCCCTAAATATTTCCCTCAAAAGTCAATAGAGAAAACAAGTACGTTTGCAGGTTCATATTTAGAGAAGCAATCTGATTAGGAAAGAGAATGGGGCATAGAATCAGACAGCCCCAGGATTCCAATCTTAGGTCACTCTTTTTAATTGTATATATTCTTAGAAGAACAACTCAACTTCTAGTCTCTTCCATAAACTGAAATTAATAATATGTATATACTAGAGCTGTAGCAAAAACAAATGAGATCATATAAGATAAATGTTACAGAAGAGAGCAAGGTAGAGAGATGAGCTCCTGCAAAGAGCCGTGGTGAGAAGCACAGTCTTTAAGAGACTTAAAGAAAGCCCACATCCAGGGGAGGAGTGTGGGGAGAGACCAAGTCACAAAGACCATGTCATTGCAGAACTTGATAGGCCATTGTGAAGGTTTATTTTGAGAGCAATAGGAACTTTGGAGAGTTTTAAAGGAGGAAGTGGCATGCTCAAGTGTGTTTGTATTTTTTAAAAAATTATCTGTTTCAAAGCATGTACACAAAAATTGTAAACTTTTACTTTTAATAAATGCCCATTTTGAGTTTCTACCAAGTATCAAGCACTGTATTAACATTTTTTCTGTGTATTACCTAGTTTAGTTTTCATAACAGTCCTGTGAAAATTTTAACCTAAAATATTTTACATTCTACAGATGAGGAAGTTAAGTAATTGGGATGGTTAATATTAGGTGTCAACTTGATTGGATTGAAGGATGCCTAGATGGCTGGTGAAGTGTTGTTTCTGGGTGTGTCTGTGAGGGTGTAGGTGTTGCCAGAAGAGATTGACATTTGAGTCAGTGTACTGAGATAGGAAGATTCAACCTCAATATGGTTGGGCACCATCCTACTGCCTGTCATCATGGCTAGAACAAAGCAGGTGGAAGAAGGTGGAATAAGTTTGCTTGCTGAGGCTTCTGGCTTCCTTATTATTCCCATGATGGATGCTTCCTTCTGCTCCTCCTGCCCCTGGACATCAGAATCCAGGTTCTTTGGCCATTGGCCTTTGAAACTTTCACCAATGGTTTGCTGGGGTCTTTCAGGCTTTTGGTCACAGACTGAAGGCTGCACTGTCAGCTTCCCTGATTTTGAGCCTCTCAGAGGCTAACTGAGCCACTACTGACTCCTGTCTTCTCCAGTTTGCAGATGGCCTATTGTGGGACTTTATCTTGTAATGATGTGAGTCAATTCTCCCTAATAAACTCCCTTTCATATATACATATATCCTGTTTTGTCTCTCTGGAGAACTGTGACTAAAACAGATTTTGATACCAGGAGTAGGGCAGATATCCCCCTCGGTGCTGTACTTGGGATAGTGATTGGGAATGTTCGCAAGATCTGGTTGTTTAAAAGTGTGTGGCACCTGCCTGTCACCTCTCATCCGCCTGCTCTGGTCGTGTGAAGTGCTCATTCCCCCTTTGCTTTCCACAATGTTTATAAGTTTCCTGAGGCTTCCCAAGAAGCCTAGCAGATGCCAGCATCATGTTTCCTGTTCAGCCTGTGGAACCATGAACCAATTAAACCTCTTTTCTTTATAAATTTTCCAGTCTCAGGTATTTCTTTACAACAGTGTGAGAACGGACTAATACACTAATAAAAAGGGGCAATAGAATTTGTATCCAGATATATCTGACTTTAAGTCTGCTTGCCACCACTATCTGGCAAGTAGAGTCTCTGAACACTAGTTGCCTCTGTAAAGGAGTTGAGTGGCAGTGGTGTAGAAGGTGAACAGAGGGCACCAGGAGTACAGGGTCACTGGCAGACACACCTTATTGTAACCCCCAGGAAGTCATACCATTGTATATCCCCTCTCCTCGGACACAGGAAGTACCTGCACCTTGCCTCTAGTCAATAGAATTATATATAAAAGACTTTGCTTTAGCAGACTGGAGCAAGAGATTATCTTGCTGGATTCAAAGAAATAAGAAGCCATGTCATGACAATGTTGCGTGTCAAAGAATTGTAGCCAGACTCTAGTTACTAAGAGTGATGCCTGGCCAACAGCTGGCAAAAAACAGGTGCCTCAGCCTTATGATCTCAAGAAACTGAATTCTGTTAACAACTACCTGATATTAGGGGAGGTTCTGAGATCCAGAAAAGAATGTAGCCCTGTCAACGCCATGATTGCCGTCTTGTGAGATCCTTCCTAGAGGACCCAGTGAAGGCTTGCCTGGACTCCTGACCCACAGAAAGCAGCAATTATAAACTAATACAGGCCCTGCTGTGTCAAACTGAAAGAAGAAAGAGTGGCTATTGAGAAGGGGATATTGGACCCAAAACTGCCCAAGTACCATGGGAGCCAGAATAACAAGAAAAGGTACATTTTCCAGAGAAGAATCTCAGGTCAAGTCAGAAATAAGATGTAGTTTAGATTGAAAAATATGCCTGAGACATGGTCACCTGAACTGTGAGTAGACACAAAAATTTGCAGTTCCACATTTTCTGTTTCTTCATTTTCTTTTCTTATCTTTTCTTTTCTTGTTTTTTTTTTTTTTTTTTTTTTTTTTTTTTTTTTTTTGAGATGGAGTCTCACTCTGTCCCCCAGGCTGGAATGCAGTGGTGCAATCTCGGCTCACTGCAACCTCTGCCTCCTGGGTTCAAGCAATTCTTCTGCCTCAGCCTCTCAAGTAGCTGGTACTACAAGCGCCCATCACCATGCCCGGCTAATTTTTTGTATGTTTTAGTAGAGATGGGTTTTCACTATGTTGGCCAGTCTGGTCTGGAACTCCTGACCTTGTGATCTGCCTACCTTGGCCTCCCAAAGTGCTGGGATTACAGGTGTGAGCCACCGCACCCAGCCTTGTTTCTTCATTTTTCTAGACATACTATGCTTGGCTTGAAGGAATAGTTTTGGATTTCACTATATGTATTACAGAAAGATTAGAGTCCAGATAGTTACTTTTTTGTTTTTGGTAACTGCTTTTTTTTTGTTTGTTTTTGAGAATCTGCTGAATAAACAGTCTGAGAAGATAATAGATACAGGTTTTATACAATATTCACAAATAGAAATATTGAGCCACTAACAGAGCATTTGCCCGTATAACCAGAATGAATCGATTTTTTTCTCTTCTTTGAAAATATGATTTAACAACATACAAAATATTTGAACAATTAAAAACATTTTTCATGTATATATATTTACTCCAATCTTTGTCCATATGTATTTATATTTTAGAAAGTTACCGTCTTAGTGATAATTCTTTCAGCTAAAAGAAACATCAATCCTAACACAAACTGATTTATACTATAAGGCCAGTCATCTCATATCAGGAAGTCCAGAGGCAGAGTGGGTTTATTTAGTGTCAGCTTATTCAATAAAACAAGATGATAGAAGCATAAGAATATTTTACCAAAAAGGTGAGAAATGTGATCATAGAGGTCAGGGCCTCAGGTGTCTTTCACCACGGCAAACAAGCATGCTGAATGTTGTTTTTCTTCTCTGGCTGCGAGATGGCTGTAGTGTGTCTAGGTATCACATACACATAAGGTGATCTCTCAAGGAAGCAGAGAGAGCCTACCTCTTCTTACAGGTATTTCTTAAGACCAAGGTCATTTTCCATGAAATCCCCCATGAGATTGTCATGATGCCCTTTTGTCTAGAACCTGGTCATGTACATTTTCCTAAACCAATCACTGGCAGTGAGAATAGCATTCCCGTAAAGCAAGCAAACAAATTCAGAAGTTTGCTGCCTACGAGATAAGGCAGGAAGATAGCCAACAAAATTAGATAAGTCTGAAAGCAAAAATGGATGCTGGATGGTGTACAGTAAGGGCTCATGACTTTTTTATTTTTATTTTTTTATTTTTTTTTTACTTTTAGAGAACTGCTTTTCTACATCATCTTAATAATTACTATTTTAATAACAATACAAAATACTCTAATGTCCTTATATCATGATTTACTAATATTTCCCCTAATTTTTTATTTCATTTTGATAGACTTATAAAATAAAATGTGAGATGCAGTATTTTCTAACTTCCTTAATTTGTGCATTAGTGATCACCAGGGAACTAGAGTGGGTGGCATTATCCTATAAAGCAGGTTTAATAATACTGAAAGAATCAGTTTTCTGTGAATTGAATATTAAGGAGATGATTTTATTATTTAAAATGTCATCTTGGTATTTTAGTTAACCCCCAAACAAAGGTCAGTAAATTTTCTATCTGGGATTAAATTTACACAGAACTTTCAAGATCCATAATAGGTTGACTTCTCAGCAATTAACCTCTGGTAGCATTTAGTTGATTTCTTTTAATGTAAGCTCTCAAGCGTCAAAGAGCAAATTTTTGGGAGGAGAATCCCAAAGTGTTTTTAGTTTTTTAATATTAATACAATATATCCCACTTATTGAATACATACTACTTGTCATATAGTCTCTTATCATAATTAACTCTATGAAAATGACATTATTATAGCATTTTGCAGAGAACGACTCAGAGAATGTAAGTAAATTAAAAAAAAAACACTCACTAGAAACTGGTGAAAATGAAAATCAAATCTAAGTTTATCTCCAACAAGCATAACATTCGCTGAGCTAAATTGCTCAGATTAGTAGCTACTCAATAAATAGTTTGGATCAGTGAATGAAAAAATTTTAAGCTCAAATGCATGTTTTTACTCCCCAGGATCATTAAAATGTGATTTTAAAAGTGCACCATACATTCTCTACAATTAAGGTACATTTAGCAGAATATGGTCTGTTCAGCTTAAATTGATTCACTTGATTTGGTTTGGTTTGTAGTAATAGGACAAAGTCTGGCTCTCCCTGGAGCTTTAAATAATGTTCCCAGCTCCCCTCCAGTCACCCTACCTAAAGTGTAGCTAATTAAGTAGGAAAAAGAGAAAAACCTTCTCCACAGGAAAGTCACTTTTTTCAGCCTGGCTGTTTCAGATGGAGTTTATTAGCAGAGTAGAAATGTAATGAAAGAAAGGTGACCATGGCTGACCTTTCTCATGAGGCACACAGACTGTAAGGCATGGAATTATTAAAAAAACCTTTCCAACTTTCCAACCTTGTTATGAAAAATTTGGGATTAAACACATAAACTCAGGGAGCCATGATCACAAAGCAAAACACTTTTAGTTCCCATTGGAAGATGAGCCAGCTTCTATTTTACACACTCACTGACACAAATGCTTCCAGGATTTGGAGCATGGTGTAAGTTATGTGTGTGCATGCACCCGTGCACAGTGTGTGTGTGTGTGTGTGTGTGTATGTATGTGTATACCTTACTTTTGACTCTCACATACTGATGATATATTATAATGATCCAATGAGTTCTATTCACCTGTTGCTACCTGGAATCCCCATGCTCACCTGAGAATTACTGTCAGCAGATGCTAGACACCCCAGTACAGTTATTGATACAGATCATAAAATGGCAGGTTCTTCACAATCTTGGTCTGTTTCTCTTGTAAGCCATCAGGTACCTACCATTGCATCTGTCACTTAAGCATCCAACTGAATGGTTGAGAATGAAGAAGGTAGTTGAGAAATGTAAGGGAAGCAACACTTATTAACCTGCTGGCATGTGATAGAAAACTGGGACCTTGAAAGTTAAACAGCATATCCCAGATCAAAAGGCCAGTGGAGCTGCAATTTTAACTCAGGACTCAGATGGAAAAAAAAAGGCATCCAGGAATTTTTATAAAATAAAAACATTATTAATGGGCTGTATGATGTAGTGGCTCACCAAATTCACACAACTATTACCTATTCTAATAGATGTACAACATCCAGATGATAGAATACTGTGTATTATATTTTTAATTTTGGTAAGATCACATCTGAAATATTGGAGTTAATTTGGGTAACTATATTTATGAAATATAGAATCTGAGTGTACTGAGAAAAATGCTCAAATGCCTTCAGTACCTCTATATCAAGTCAAGGTATTGAAACAATCTTAGGAAGAATTTTCTTATGAAGGGTTGTGCCTTAGTCCATTAACAGAATACCAGAGACTGGGTAATTTATAGAGCAAGAGATTTATTTTTTATAATTCTGGAGGCTGAGAAGTCTGTCATTAAGGGGATGATATCTAGAAAGGGCCTTCTTGCTGTGATCCCATGGTGAAAAGCAGAAAGGCAAAATAGCACAGGTACCTGAGAGAGAGAAGAAAGGAGACTGGAACATATCCTTTGGTTAGAAACCCTCTCCCACAATAATGACAATAATTTATTCATGAGGGAAGAGCCCTCACAACCTGTTCACTTCTTAAAAGGCTCACCTCTCAACACTTGCTCTGGGGATTCAGTTTCTAATGCATGATGATTGGCAGACATTTAAACCATAGCAGCTTGCAATCTCAGACACATTTTAAGTAAAAAATCTTGCTTCCAGTGTTTCTTTAATGACTTTCCTGAGGTAGAGGAGATGATTCTGGAGGAAACAACTATCTTCTATTAACTCCAGGAAGAAGGCATGAGGACTAGTGAGAAGTTGTTTTAGGGAGGCTAATTACAGATTTATATCTGCTAGAATTTTATAAAAACTCTAAATATTAGCCGGGGGCAGTGGCTCACACCTGTAATCCCAGCACTTTTGGAGGCTGAGTCGGGTAGATCACTTGAGATCAGGAGTTGAAGACTAGCCTGGTGAACATGCTGAAACCCGTCTCTACTAAAAATACAAAACATCAGCCCGGCATGGTGGCGGGTGCCTGTAATCCCTGCAACTAGGGAGGCTGAGGCAGGAGAATTGCTTGAACCCAGGAGGCAGAGGTTGCAGTGAGTCGAGATCGTGACACTGCACTCTAGCCTGGGCAACAGAGCAAGACTCCATCTTAAAAAAAAAAAAAAAAGTCCTCTAAATATCGGACAACAGAAGGAAAAAGGAGAGAAAAAAACTAACATTCTCTTTTTCAAAACAAAATGTTGTGTTAAAACAGTCTTGTGAAAAAAAAAATCAGGTCATATCCATCTCAGTAGGGGAAATTAATGCTCAATTTTATTTTAGAGTACAGATAGTATCAGAGATGAACATTAACCCAGGTCGGTGTGGCTCCATGCTTATATTCCTGATTTCTAAGCATTAGCTCCCAAAACATATTTAAGTAGAAATTATTCAGATGGTTATCAGGGATGAGTTGGAAAGGGCCTTACATTGGGAAGCAGGTTGGTCTTTGTGACATCTTAGTCTCCAATTTCTGTTTCTTTAAATTTATGATGCAACTGGATGACATATATATAATAGACAAGGCTTAAGATGAAAATTGGTGCTGAAAATACAGTTTGGGAGGTTTTCATCTACCTTTATTCTCTCTGTATAGCTCTGTAAATAACTGGTGTTCGGATCCAGTGAGGGTATATATACCATGGACAAAATGTTTGAAAGTCCTCCCTCCAACCTTATTATAACATGGTTCTTGGCAGTTAAGCCACATGCCAACTCCAGAGTGCTTTTCTTGGTGTGAAGGTAATTAGTCTGGGATTAATTACAGAATTTTTCTAGCTTTATTATACAAATGCTCAGAGACAGTCTATTTTTTTGGATGCAGTATACAAGACTGACTACATACAAATGTGCAGCATTGTTTGCAGGCATAAATACGTATAGATGAATAAACTTCCAAAAGGCTGAATGGTAAAGTCCACTTACTTGGTCCTTCCACCCCTACCTTCTATTCTTTCCCCAAAAAATGTGGGCATATAAAAATAAGTACTATATTTCTTAGATTCACCATGGACCAATTGGCCAAATTATTTGTGTGTCAGAAATTTATGGATGTATTGAGATTTTCCAAAACTGTAAATTCCCTTCTCTGAAATATCTAATACTACTGAGCATTCTCTTTTTAGACTTTTTTCATTGTTTCTCAAAATATATCAATTTGCTTTTCTTTTGTCTCATGTAACAGAAAAGTGAAACTGACTCAAATAATGAGAACACTGTCTGTCATATAATTCTCCGGTTATGAGAAGTGTAGAGATAGGAACACAACCAGTGACAATTATATCAGATGTCTGGCTCTGTTTCCCTGGATTCTCTTCGTTCTGCTCTTCTCAACGTCAACTTTTTCTTCAGAGCAGCTCAGATGGCCACGGAATGGCTACCAACTGTAACTGGGGCAATATGTTTCTTGGTTCATATGCAGGGTGAAGAAGAGGAAAATTCCCAATGCATGCCATGAGTTCTTATTTTCGGTTTTATAGGACCATCCTAGGTCGCTGGACTAATAAGAGTGTCTAGAGAAATGTCTCTCCTGATTTGGAATGATCTAGAATAATTAGAATTCACTTTTGAAGCTGTGAGTAGATTAAGGTTCCTCTACTTCACGTGAGAAGGGCAGAGTGGATACCTGAACATCATTAATGTCCTTTTGGGAAGCAAGAAAACGTAATGCATCCTGCACAGGCGACCAGCAGTGTCCTTTATGCGAGGTAACAAACTCTGCTAGTACCTAATCAGTCTCCTATGGTCTTTTCTCCTTTCACTGATTCTTCAGTGTTGGTGTTCCCAGGGTTCTGTTCTTGGACTTCTGTTTTTATTCTTGTGATCATTGGTGGATTTTCATAATATATAGTAGACACATTATATCATAGATATGTATCATGTACAGTGATTCAGGGAACAGACTCTGGAGACAGGCAACCTGAATTTGAATCTCAGTTTGATCACTTGATGCCTACGTCATGTTAAGCAATCTCTTAAGTTTTCTGAGACTCATTTTTTTCAAAGGAAAAATTGGGATAATTTCCCATCTCATAAGGCAAAGTTTTTTTTTTTAAAGATAACAAAATATGTGAAGTGCTTAGAATATTTCTGTCCCTGTTAAAAAAGCCTCCTTATGATGCTTCACCCTCAAGAAATGTAGATATGAGCAAAGGAGGGAGTAAGAGAAAAGAAAAAAGGCGTCACACCCTGTTTAACCATTTCAGGTTCAGAAGGGCAGTAATGATTAATGTCTTAACCAAGAAAGAACCTGGTTCCTTTATGCTCATTCTTTTAAAGGAGGAAATCAACATTTATTATGCTCTTCATATATGCCAGACACTGCTAAGAATGCTTTAAATTCACCTTCTATGGTTTACTCTAAACCATATGAAGAAGCATTATCTTCATTATTTTACAAAAGAAGATCCTAGGCTTAGAGAACATGAATATCTTGCCAAAGGTCAGTAAATGGTAAATCAGGATTTGAAACCTGCTTACTCTAACTTTGCTTGCTCACTTTTACCTGTTCCCTAAAACTTAGTTTAATCGTTGTTTTCACCGTAAAGCCTTTTCCATCTGCTTCAAAAGGGTTCTGCAATTTGCGTCTTTGTTTGCTAAGGACTCTGCTTGCTGCTTATAATATTGTTGATCACATCATACTGTCATTGATTACTTGTGTGTGTCCCCTCACACACTTTAACCTTCTGTCATAGTCTCAGGCCATAGCATCAACTTCAATGAGCATTTGCTGAATGACCAAATAAATTAATGGTCAGACATGAGTGTATTCAAGCCCTATAATATTTTTTCTTTTATAACACTCAGATGTTTGGTCTTCCCTTTAGAAAAATACACCGAATTGGGAGAGAATAATGTCTTGGCATATATTCTGGAGATGATTCTAGTAGGCCAGGGATCCAAAGGACCTCAGCCCTTACCCTCCTCTCATCCATGCCTGGGATGTTTCAGATGGGCCAACTGAAGGACCAAAAGAAGTGACTGGCACAAGCTCCCTTGATGAATCCCAGCTGGAGATAAGCCACATATCCATTTTGTAACTCATGGTTCAAAACACTTGCACTCAAACTAAGACCTTCCTTTTAAACATTCTGCATGGCAGACACATCTAGTTACACCACTTTGTCAGATTATTTGGTTTTTCTTTGTAAAGCAGAAGAAAATCTTTTAGAAAGTCAAATTATAATAATAGAATAAAATATGTATATGTGTGTCTGTGTATTAAAATTTAACACAAATTCCCTTTAGCTATTTTTTTTAGCTAATTTTAGTCACACCTTTAGCTATTTTTAGCTACCCCTTTCACTATTTTTTTTTCTATTTGAAACCATTTTTTAATTTTGTTGTTACTATTACTAAATATGTACATTTGAGCATGTATGTTATGTACACTTAGATAAGATTAATTTAAAATTGGGCCAAAGTTTCAGACATTTTATGGGACTGTGGGAGATGGGCTTAACTATAAGGTTTGTGATTATTTTTGAATTAATTTACAGTATATAGAAAAATGGGGTAACAAGGCGATTTTGATTTTCATGGTAAGAAAGCAAACACTCTCTAAATAGCTCTGGCAGGTTTCTTTGTGAGGTGGGTAAGGAACACTTCTTAAACAAAAATGTGGATTTATTTTATTCCTTATATGTTGGATTATTCATATATTTATTAAAATAAAGCAACTTAGATGATTAAGTCATTTTTTATCAAATATTTGCTGAATACTTCCAGGCATTAAGCGTTGCGCTGAGTAAAGTCTTGTATGAGTCTTAGTCCTCATTCCCAAGGGAGTTTGTCATCTAGTAATACCAACTCTATGGATTGCTGACTACAGTTTGTAAAGGTTGTTGTTATTGTTACTTTTATGTGCACCAGAACATATTATTTATAACAGTCTGATGAGCTAGGCTACGTAGGTGCTGTAAATACTTTTCATTTTACAAATTAAACGAATGGAAATTGAAGTGTCACCATTTTCCTGGGTCCTTGTAATCTCCCAGGCTAGAAATGAAGAGAGATCACCAGACGCTGCAGCAAAGAGAAAGAGAAGGATTTTATTTAGCTTGTGCACAAGGAAGTCACTACTGCAAAAGCAAAAGGGCAGACTTCTCCCTTAGGATAGTACGTGCATTAGTTTTATAGGGCCTTTCTACAGAGATGGGTTTCATCAGCACATGTACAGGAGGGATTTTTCTAGTGCTCCTGCAGTGGCTTTACATGCTTCCTTATATACTGCATATAACAGTAACATTTTAAATCTCTACCCCGTGCATGATTTTTAGCATTAAAATGAGGAAGGGGTAACTATAAGTTGACATTTATAACTGTGCATGTGGTGTCCCAAGAAGTCCCTGTCTCCATAAAGCAGGAACTTGTGGGTAAGAGCTTCTTGGGTCTTTATTTATTTATTTATTTATTTATTTATTTATTGCTGATTGGCTGGAAGACAGATAAGCTACAGATCGAGTGAGAAGTTTTTTCTTTTCCTTTTTCACAAGACCACATCAAAATAGGAAATTGGCCAGCCTGCCTGTCTTACAAGGATGTTAAGTGAATTGGCCCCATGCATGACAGTTTAACGATATTGAGATTTGAACCCAAAGGACCTAGCTCCAATGTGTAGTAGGTTTATCACTACCATGTGCATTAAGCAGTCATAATGAAGGAATCTGTAATACTTTTCTATTTCTTATTTTATGAAACTGGAACCTCAACCCATCTTATTAGTATCAGTGGTTGAAAGCTAAAACATAAAACTCACTAGATAATTCATTTTGATTATACAGCATCTTATTTATGATAACATTGAAACTCCTATTTTACATATTAGTTACTGCATTGGATTATACCTCTAGGGTTTTGTTTTACTGGTGTTGCTATCCTTACTGCCCCCGCCGCACAACTCCAAAATAAAACAAAACACAAAGCAAAACAAAACATCACTCCTGGAGCCTTAACACCTGGTGCTTACACAATAACAATGTATAAGTTGTATCTTTGTCTAAGAGGCAGTTTGTGAAGTGGTTAGAAAAACAAGCTTGGGTACCTGGGTTCAAACCCTACCTCTAGCACTAGAAAACTTATTTGTGACTTTGATCAAATTTCTTAGTTTCTCTGTGAGTCAGTGTCCCTGTCAAAAGTAGGGATGTGTATAATTATGCCATAGGGATATGGCACTGATTCAATAACAAGGTATCCTGAAACAGCCCACTGCCAGGTACTTAGTAAAATTTCTGTCCGTGCTAGTTTCTGCCAAGAAGATTTTATAGCTGCTACCCATCTCCCCCTGCTTTTAGGATAATGTCCAAATTCTTGGAGAAACAGTAAGATGGGCTCCCAAATGTCTACACAACTTCTCTCACTTTGCCTTTGCCTTTGCCTATTCCCCCACGCTTGCCTAGACTCTAGCTTCAACCAGTCTAAATTTCTTTCACTTCTTCCTGTGTCTCTTTCTTCTTCCTGGTGATCTCCAGCTCTTGTGATTTTTCCTGTGAATATAGAAAAATCTCCTGGGGAATATGGATAAAATATAGATTCCCCAGGCCTCACTCCCCAGTAACCTACATCCTTTTAGGTTTGATGTGGGCCCAACCAATTTGCATTTTTAACAAGCACTCCTGGGTGACTTTGCTGTAGGTGGCCCGCCATTCGCATTTTGAGGAACTCAGCCTTAGCACATTTGCATGCATATTTCCTTTTGCAATTTGCATACCACTCCTACTTCCTGTCCCCAGGTCTTTCTGGTCAGGACCCAACATTGCTGTTTCTATCGCTCTGTGAACTGCAACTCACATGATGACTGGGACCTTGGAACCATCTTACTGTATTTCAACCCTGCCCTGAAACCTCACTACATCTCAAGTTCCTAAAAGCTGAAGAAAACTAAGATTTTTCTTCTATACCACAAATCTTTCTGAGATGACTTGAAATGTCAAAGGAAACCCCCAAAACTATGTTCTCAGCATAACTATTAGAAAGATCTACGTGCCATTTCCTGGGAAATAAATGCTCACAACACTCCCTCCTTTATAGGAAAATGGAAGGTAACAAAAGAGTAAGAAAAAATATAATGTTCATATAAAAACTGCAAAAATGGGAAATAAGAGCAAGGCCCTCACGTACCAGAAGTGCTGCCTGGAAAGTCCAAGAGTAAATGGTAGTTTGGGCTTCAGGTCAGAGAGGAAGGTTCTCTTTTGTTTTGAAATTGACCATACATTAACCAAGCACAAAGAAAAAAATGTCAGTAAAGGATAGGAATAGATGAAAGGAGATAAAATAGGGAGGAATGCAAAGACAAAATATTTATTAAATGTCACTGTTACTATTACAGACATTAATGTGTGTGCAAGTACAAGACCACCCCTGTGCAAGTTTGTACACACACACACACACACACAGCTTTAGAGGAAAGAGGCAATCTTCATGTTAGTATTTTTAGGTATCAATAAAGGTTGTTCTGGAATAGTAGCTACGCTCATGACTACCAGCAGAGCATTAATTTTCTTGCTAAAAACAGAATGAATGTGTTTAATGTGAAATTATTGCCGCTTACATTCTGTCACTGACCAAAAGCAAGGCCTCTTTCAGCTCTCTAAAATTCTCTTTTCTATTTATAGCAAGAGGGCTAAACTACTTTGTGTTTGATTCCTAACTGGTTCGTGTGAATGAATGATTGGATGAATGAATGAAATTTTCCAGTCTGAAAGATTAATTTAACTCATATTTCTACAGCATGCAGGGCCAGAGAATTAATGGATTCTGTTTTCTGCAGTCTAAGAGGAAGGAGGATTGTTTCAATTTTACCACAATCAGGGGGTTAGAGCACACATTGAATTTAAGAAAGCAGTTAAATCCCACCATTTAATCCTGTATCATGATTCTTAATCACATACTTTACAAAGATAGCTCTCCGATCATTCTATTCTGGTGAAAATTTGCCAGGGAAAATCTGTAACAGGGTCTGATTGTTGGAAACTTCAAGTTTCTTCTCTGGCATACATTTTTGAAATAATGAAGACTTGAAGCCACTTTAACAATAGGTCTGATTTGACCCAACTGATTAAAAGGGTCAGTGGGAGTTCATTTTTTTCTCCCTTAGGAAAAATTTAAGAAAAGTAAGTGTTTTGTGCCTATATTAGGATATCTTTGTGATTAGAAGACTCTCACCAAAAGCAGAGCAAAATATATCTCTAGTGAAAGACCTTCTACTGCTAAACTCTCTCAATTATAATTCCTTCTTTGATACTAAATTGCACCTCTCCAGTGTATGCTCCGACTGTTGGTCTTCCTGCTCTCTCTTTAACAATATAGACTTATAAAATGTAATCATATGATGTGCTGCATTTTTTATGGAAATAGAAATGTGAACTATATACTCTACATAGAATCTAAAGAGATTGCCATTTTTGCAATTTTGTTTTAGCTAATAAGTGCATTCATGTATGCATGAGTGCAAGGAAACCTATGCTCACGTGAATATATATGCGTAGCTTGGGAGAAAAGGAGTAGCTTTTATTTCGGTATTTTAAGGTATCAATAGAGGTTCTTCTAGAATAGTAGCTACCTTAATGGCTACCTGCTGAGAAGCTATATTCAATTGAGTTCAGGTGGTAAACCTTTTCTGCTATATTTATTTGCTTAAGCTATCTTTATGAGAGAAGGATTTGAATAATTATATCAAGAGTAGCTGAGAGCCAGTTGTGGTGGCTCATGCCTGTAATCCTAGCACTTTGGGAGGCTGAGGTGGGAGGATCACTTGAGACCAGGAGTTCAAGACCAGCCTGGGCAACATAGTGAGACCCCCCCCCCCCATCTCCACACACACACACACAAAGAGTGGTTGAGAGAGTTTCTCATTGCTGAGCACTTTGACCAGTATCAGCATCAGAGAAAACCACAACAAACAAATTTAGAAACCTAGATTAGGTTTTGAACAAGGTGTTTGGAGCCAGAGAATCTTGGGATGAGCAATGATTCTGCCATTTACTGCTATGCGATATTGACTAAAATTTATTGACTACTCTAGGCATTAATTTTCTCACCTGTAAAGTAAAAGTAGTACTAGTGCAAAACTCAGATATTCAACATATGGAACGCTATTATTATTATTTTATTTTACTCCTACTTGCTTGGCCTGCTATCTAGTTCTAACCTCATCTGCTCTATCAAGTATTCTATTCTTGCCCACAAAATGAGCACATACATCCCGGCTTATAAATATGCTGTTTATTTGAATACCATTTATGGGTCAGCTGCTTGATTATTTTTTCCCATACTAATAACAGCCAATTCATTTCAAGCACCTCTTCTTTGCCAGGCCCTGTGTTAAATGTCTTACATGTATTATGCCATTCAATTTGTATAGAAGCTCCACAAAAGTTTCCAAAAGGAGCAACCAGGATTCAACAAGGTTATTTTCCAAGATCACACAGTAGTTTGTGAACAAACTAAACCCAACCCAGAATGTTGTAACTCAAAGTCACCGTCCTTTTTCACTGCACCTTTTCTCTTTTCAATAGTATGAAAACAAAAGTGACAATCAGGTAAAGGATGGCTCAGACACCAGGCTAACTTGCAAAAGTCCACCAAATTCCACATGTAGCTAACAATTAGAACACAGTTTCTTTGTGTTTGTGTATCTCTTTGGATGCCTTTGGTTACAATTAATAGAAAATCTGATTCATAAATGTTTACCAAATAGGGAAATTAATTATCTCACCTACTACAAGACTAAGGGTAGGAGGAATGCTAATCTTAATATAATTAGCAGTGCAACAATATCTTCAAGGGCCAAGATGCTTTCCATTTCTCCTCTCTGACTGCTTGGTGTAAGTTTTATGTTCAGGCTATAGTAAGATAGTCTCTGCATGTCCAGATGTCACATATGGATGCTTCTTCCTGTATCTCTTTCTTAGAAATGATGGCTTTTTCCCCAGAAGCCCGAGTAGATATTTTTAATACCTCATTGATTAAGATTGATGTATATGCCCCTTTCTAAACAATCACTAGCAAGGATATTTGAATTCCTATGAAAAGCTTAGTGAAAATGTTTGGAGTAGAATAGTTGCTGGGAAGACAACCAATGGACCGCATGTGTATATGGGCAGAGAGGGGTTAAAGTATTTCCATGTACAGAGGAAAATATCCCTACTTCTCTGCACATAATGTAGCATCTTATTTCATATCTGCTCCTACTTAGAAATAGGGGACAAATGACTGTCTGTTACAGAAATGAGAACATTTCTTCTAGCTCTTTGTGTGCATTATAGAATCTATTATATAATAAAAGTCAGATGTCTATGAAAACAGGAATGACTCGACTGTAGCCCAATTTCTTACCACATGCCGACTTCTAATTAAACAGGGGTGGTGACTGGATAATTGGATAAACCTATTCAGGGAAATCACTTGAATAAAATGCATTACAGCTGTATTGCCAAAGTCCAACTCATAAAAGGATCATTAAACAGTGAATTTTAAGAACTGTAACAGATCTGATTGATGTTCACTAGAAGTTTTAGTGAGCTCAGATTTGCCTAAGTAAATGTCTTCATTTCTTTTGGACAAATACTTAAGATTGGTATTGCTGGAGCATGTAGCTAGATATAATGTTCTAAATAGGTGTAACTTACATCTTCACCAGCAAATCACATTCTCATGAATATTTGAGGTTGCTTTACTTTAAAAAATTTACCATTCCAAGAAATGTGTAGTAATATCTTATTCTGATTTTAATTTGCATTTCTGTAAGTGTTAATCATGTTGTACACTTTTTAATGTGTTTATTGGCCATTTCTTTGTCTTTCCTATTGATCTATTCAAGTGTTTTGACCAGTTTTAATTAGATTGTGTTTGTCTATTTGTAACGTAGTTGTAAATGTTTTTAATATATTGTGGATAAAAGTCCTTTGTCAAGTATGTTTTGTGAATATGTCCCCAGTCTATGACTTACATATTGATTTTATTTCAGAGCTTTTTGATAAGCAACAGGTTTAACTTTGATAAATTCGATTATATCAATGTATTGGTGTTATTTTGCTTGCCTAAACTCTTTTTCTTTTTCTTTTTTGCCTGTTCCTACCTCACAGATATTTTTCCATATGTTTTTCTAGAATTTTAGCATTTATGTTTAGGTGTATATTTGATCTAAAAATATATTCTCCATACACTATGAGGTAAATATCAAGATTACCCCTGTACTTGATATGGATGCCCAATCGTTCCAGCACTAGCACCGTTTGTTGAAAAAAATTTTCTTACCCTTTGTTTTGGTGACTTTGTAGGAAATTAATCAATTGTATAAGTGTTAGTCAATTTATGGTCTATTTATTCAGTTCTGTGTATTGATTTATCTCTTTGCTAATACCTCATTGTGTTGATTACTGTAATAAGTTTAGAAGTTAGTATCATGAGTCTTCCAACTTTATTTTTGACATTAAAAATATATATTTGTCATTCTATGTTCTTTATATATAAATTTTATAATTGATTGTCAATTTCTACAAGAATGCCCACTGGGAATTGGATTGGTATTGTATAGATCAAAAGAGAGAGAGAGAGATCAAGTCAGAAATAATTGGTGTACTGATAATAATATAATGCAGTCTTAACAATATAATTTATAAATATACGTCGTTGTTTATTTGGGTCTTTTAAGATAAACTATTTTCAGGATGTTGTAGTTTTCAATGTTGTTTCCCATTTGCTTATAGGTACACAATAGGTTTTGGTAAATTTACCCAAGTAACTTATAATCTTGCTAAATAAGGATATTTTCGTTAGATTTAAAAAATCAATTTCTATTTACATAGTTATGTCTTCTGTGAATATTTATACATTTTTTTTTTTTGAGATGGAGTCTCACTCTGTCGCCAGGCTAGAATGCAGTGGCGTGATCTCAGCTCACTGCAACCTCCACCTCCTGGGTTCAAGGGATTCTCCTGCCTCAGCCTCCTGAGTAGCTGGACCACAGGCACATGCCACCATACCCAGCTAATTTTTGTATTTTTAGTAGAGGCATGGTTTCACCATGTTGCCCAGAATGTGCTCAATCTCTTGACCTCGTGATCCACCTGCCTTGGCCTCCCAAAGTGCTGGGATTACAGGTGTGAGCCACCGCACCCAGCCATATTTATACTTTTTTATGCCTTTAATTTTCTTACTTTATCATACTATCTTAAAATATTAGTATAATTTTAAATAGAAATAGTGAAAGCACATTTAATGGGAAATCAGTCATTCTGTTACCATTACATATAATATTATTTGTATAATTATTATATATGCCTGTTATCAGGTTGAGGAAATTCCTTTCTAATCCTAGTTTTCCAACAAGTTTTATTATGAATAGATATTGAATTTTGACAATGGTTGTTCTGTTCAACTCCTCTTTTTCTTTCTTTTCTGGAACTTCAATTATATGTCAGTGTGGTCACTTAATATTGTCCCACAGCTCACTGATCCCATTAATTTTATTTCAATGATTTTGTGTGTGTGCATGCGTGCGCACATGTGCATGCTTCAATGTTGAAATTTTCTATTATAAGTCATTGCTTTCTTTTGCATTATCTGATTAGCCTGTATTTTTTAAATCTAATGAATTTTTATTTTGAGATACTAGATTTTTTGATTTCTAGAAATTTTCTTTGGGCCTTTTTTAAAAAATATACTGTTTCTCTATTTTCATCATGTTTATGCTCTCCTCTACCTTCATTAACATATTCATTTACAATAGCTGTTATAACATTCTTAGCTACTAATTCTGTGATCTAGATTTGATACATTACTATTATTTCAAAGACTTTTTTGCGTATGTTCATGATGGATATTGTTCTCTGCTCCCCTTTATATTTATATATATTTATAAAAAATTTTAAAATATTTATATTTATATGTAAGATATATAATATATATGTCTTATAAAATATATATTTTTATATATCTTTTTAGATATTTTGATATCAGGATAGCACTGGCCTCATAAATTGAGTTGACAAGTTCTTTCTCTATTTTCTTCTGTGACACATAAGTTTATTATTAGTTCTGTTAGCCTGCTCAGATCTCTGTTTTAAACATTTATTTCAGGTTTGAAGGTACATGTGCAGATTTGTTACATAGGTAAACTCATATCATGGGGGTTTGTTGTACATATTATTTTGCCAACCAGGTACTAAGCCTAGTAACCAATAGTTATTTATTCTATTCCTCTCCCTTTTCCCACCCACTACCCTCAGGTAGACCCCAGTGTCTATTGTTCCCTTCTTTGTGTTCATGAGTTCTCATCATTCAGCTCCCACTGGGAACATACTGTATTTGGTTTTCTCTTCCTGTGTTAGTTTGCTAAGGATAATAGCCTCCAGCTCTATCCATGTTCCTGCAAAAAACACTATCTCATTCTTTTTTATGGCCGCATAGTATTCCATGGTGTATATGTACCACATTTTCTTTAATCTATCATTGATGAGCATTTAGGTTGATTCCATGTCTTTGCTAATTTGAATAGTGGTGCAATGAACATTCATGTGTATGTTTATGGTAGAATAATTCATATTTGTCTGGGTATATACTCAGTAATGGTATTTCTGGGTCAAATGGTAGTTTGGTTTTCAGCCCTTTGAAGAATCACCATACTGCTTTCCACAATGGTTAAACTAATTTACATTCACACCAACAGTGTACAGCTGTTCCCTTTTCTCTACAACCTGGCCACAGGCTGGAGAGATTGACATTTTGACTTTTTAGTAATAGCCATTCTCACTAGTGTGAGGTGGTATCTAGTTGTGGTTTTAAGTTATTTTCTTAGTCTTGACTTCTATTTTATTTGTGCTGTGGTCGGAGAGTGTGTTTGTTATAATTTCAGTTCCTTTGCATTTGCTGAGGATTGTTTTATGTCCAATCATGTGGTTGATTTTAGAGTACATGCCATGTGGCAATGAGAAGAATATGCATTCTGCTGTTTTTGGATGAAGAGTTCTGTAGAAGTCTATCAGATCCATGTGGTCCATTGTGGAGTCCAGGTCCTGAATATCTGTGTAAATTTTCTGCCTTGATAATCTGTTTAATACTGTCAGTATGGTGTTGAAGTCTAACACCATTATTGTGTGGGAGTCTACATCTCTTTGTAGGTGCCTACGAACTTGCTTTGCCGGGTGCAGTGGCTCATGCCTGTAATCCCAGCACTTTGGGAAGCTGAGACAGGCAGATCACCTGAAGTCAGGAATTCGAGACCAGCCTGACCAACATGGAGAAACCCTGTCTCTACTAAAAAGACAAAATTAGCCAGGCGTGGTGGTGCTTGCCTGTAATCCCAGCTACTCGGGAGGCTGAGGCAGGAGAATTGCTTGAACCCGGGAGGCGGAGGTTGTGGTGAGCTGAAATGGCACCATTGCACGCCAGCCTGGGCAACAAGAGCGAAACCCCATCTCAAAAAAAAAAAAAAAAAAAAAAAAACAGCTTGCTTTATGAATCTGGGTGCTGTTGTATTGACTGGATGTATATTTAGGATAGTTAGGCTTTCTTGTTGAAATGAACTCTTTAGTATTATGTAATGCCCTTCTTTGTCTTTTTTTTTTTTTATGTTTGTTGATATGAAGTCTGCTTTGCCTGAAATTGGGATTATAACCTCTGCTGCTTTTTTCTGCTTTCCATTTGGTTGGTAGATTTTCCTCCATCTCTTTATTTTGAGCCCATGGGTGTCACTAGTTGTGGGATGGGCCTCTGGAAAACAGCATATCTTGCCTTTTTATTTAGTTTGCCACTCTGTGCCTTTTAAGTGGAGCATTTAGCCCATTTACATTCAAGGTTAGTATTGATATGTGTGGATTTGATCCTGTCATTGTGTTGTTAGCTGGTTATGATGCTGGCTTGTTTGTGTGGTTGCTTTATAGTGTCACTGGCCTGTGAATGTAAGTGTGTTTTTGTATTAGCTAATAAAGGTCTTTCCTTTCTATATGTAGTGCCCCTTTCAAGATTTCTTGTAAGGCAGGTCTGGTGGTAACAAACTCCCTCTACATTTGCTTATCTGAAATGGTTCCACTTATAAGCTTAGTTTGGCTGGATATAAAGTTCTTGGTTGAAGACTTTTTTCTTTAAGATTGTTGAATATAGGCCCCCAGTCTCTTTTGGCTTGTAGGGTTTCAGCCAAGAGGGCCGCTGTTAGCCTGATGGGGTTCCCTTTGTAGATGATCTGCCCTTTTTCTTTAGCGGCCTTTAACATTCTTTCTTTCATTTCAGACGTGGAAAATCTGATGGTTATGTGTCTTGTAGATGATCCTCCTGTGTAGAATCTTGCAGGGGTCCTCTTCATTTCCGGAATTTGACTGTTGGCCTCCCCAGCAAAGTTGGGAAAGTCTTCATGGGTGATATCCTGAAACATGTTATCCAAGTTTACCTTTTCCTCATCTCTTTCAGAAATGCCAGTGATTAGTAGTTGGCATCTTTACAAAATCCCATATCTCCTGGAGATTATGTTCATTCTTTTTAAAGTTTTTTCTTCAGTTTTTGTCTGAGTGTCTTATTTCAGAAAGCCAGTCTTCAAGTTCTGAGATTCTTTCCTCAGCTTGGTCTATTCTGCTGTTAGTACCTGTGACTACATCATGAAATTCTTGCATTGTGTTCTTCAGCTCTGTCAGATCCATTAGGTTCTTTTTTATACTGGCTATTTTGTCCTTCAGCCCCTGTGTCATTTGATTGTGATTCTTAGTTTGCTTGGATTGAGTTTTGCTATTCTTCTGAATCATGATGATCTACTGACTGTAGATTGCAGCTTGACTCCTGGGCTGCCCACTGCAGCTCTGGGGTGATCTCAGGGTTTTTGTTCCTTCCCCAACTTGGAGGCAGAAGAGGGAAGGACCTTCATAGTGGTTGTGGCCAAGGGTCTTTTTCTTGTCTCCTGGGGATTCCATCCCAGAGAGATGCAGGTCAGCAATCGCTCAGGTCAATCAGCCTGGGATGGGCAGTCTGTGCTGTGGGCCCAAGCTCAGGGTTCCCTGTCATGATGAGCAGGGTGGGACCCACGGGAGACAAACTGGCCACCTTCTCCTTGAGTCAACTGCAGTTTGTTGGAGGTCTGGTTAAGGTACTTAGGGTCCTTACTCCTTCGTTAGTCTGAGGGTAGCAAGGGTACTTCCACGGCAGAGACAGTGGCACAGAGGCTTTCAGTTGCTCCTGGGGCCTTCGCCCCCAAGAAATGCAGAGCCACTGTTACTGGGGGTGTTCAGCCAGAGAGGTGGGGGCAGCTGCACTACTGGCATGAGCTTGGTTCTCCACTTGTTGTGCAGCAGGGGGTCAAAGGCTCACAGGGAGGAGAGAGAGGTCTCCTCTCTGTATGGTGTCTGTGGTATGCTGTACACTGGTGTAGCAGCCTCTTAGTTTTTTCCCCAGACCATAGGCAGCAGGGATAGAACTGTTATGGTGGCATTGGCAGACAGGCTGTTGTATGCCTCTGGGAGCCTCTTCCTGGAGAAGCTCCAGACTGTTACCAGTGGGTATGGTTAGCCATGGGTGTGGCAACAGTTCTACATTCATGAACCAGGAGCCCTGTCTGGTGAAGAGTAGAGTGGGGGTTCCGAGGGAAGAGTAGCTGGACTCCTCTCGGTATGGTGGCTGTAGTATGTTGGAGGTGCTAGCATGATGACTAGGCCTTTCGTTCCTTCTGAGGCCAAGGGCTGTTGGGGCTGTACCACTTCAACTGTAGTGAAAGAGGGGTTGTGGGTTGACGCTGGGATTTCCTCCTTGGGTAAATGCTGGACAGCCTGTTTGTGGTGATCATGCAGGAGCAGGATTGGTTGTCCTAGAGTTCCAGGGCGGGTGCCCCTGCCCAGTGAAGAGAAGTGAGGACAAGGATCTGCATGGAGAACAGTCTAGCCACTTTTCTGTGAATTGGTTGCTCTGTGCTGGGGGTCCAGATCAGCCCCTGGTCCCCACAGACTATCCCAAGCCTGGAGACAGCATAAGCAAGAACTGTAAGACAGGTGAGATGGCAACCCACCCCTCTTACTGGGAGCTCTGTCCAGGAAATTGCAGAACTGCTCCTGGCTCAATAGCAACCGCAGCAGGTGGCAGGAAGCCCAGGCCTGGAGGACCTGCCCAGTGAGGAGATATGGGAATGGGCACCCACGTAACAGTCTGGCCACTCTTCTGTAGGGCTGCTGCTGTATGCTGTGGTTCCACTCCAGTCCCTAGGCACCTCAGATTTTCAGGTATCTGAAGGTATCAACAGTGAAGGCTGCAAAACAGCAAAGTGATGGCCTGACCCTCTCTCTGGGAGCTCCATCCCAGGGAGGTATGGACTTATTGCCAGCCCAAATGCACCTGTAGGAGGTGGCTGGAGACCCCAGTTTGGAGGTCCTGCCCAGTGGGGAGGACTAGGATCAGGGACCCGCTTTAAAAAGTAGTCTGGACACATTTTCATAAAGTAGCTGTGCTGTGCTATCGGTCTGCTCTAGGCCCTGGTCGCCTCGTACTCTCCAGAGCCGGAAGGCCAGAACAACTAAGTCATTCAAACAACATAGATGGCGACCCACTCTTGCCTCTGGGAGCTCTGTCCCAGGGAGGTTTGAAACCTCTGTCAGCTGGAAAACACCGGTAGGGGTAGCCGGAGACCACAGTTGGGAGGTCCCACGTAGTGAGGAGAAACAGGGTTGGGACATGCTTAAAAAGCAGTCTGGCCATGTTTTTGTAGAGCAGCTGTGCTATGCTGAGGGTGCACCAGTCCCCAGTTGCCTTGGACTCTCCAAAGCCCAAAGGCAGGATTGGCTAAGTCACCCAAACAACAAAGATGGCGGTCTCACCCGGGAGCTCCATCTCAGGGAGGTATAATGCTGCTACTGGTGGCTGGCTGAAGTTCCAGGCTAGTGGATTTATTGTATGAGGTGCTATGGAAGCAGGGCCTGCAGACTGTTGCTTTTCAGCCCCCTGGATTCAGCTCCTTTCCTAGGGATATGTACAGAGGCCTAACTTCTGGCTTTGCTGGAGTTGCAGCTGCTTTTGCCTTGAAGCTGGGAAAGCCCAGGTATCTAAGGTTCCCCGTCTCCATGTGTGCATGAGCAGCACATAGTTCTGTGAGTCAGACTGAAGCCCTGTGAGTCAGACTAGAAGAACCTACTGGGTTCATGAGAGGATCCCCTGACTCAAGAGGTGCAAAGATCCCTGGAAGAAGCGTGGATTCCCAGGGTTGCTCATCCACTCACCTTTCCTTGGTGGAGGGAGGTTCCCCTGGCTCCCTGTCCCTCCTGCCCCTGGGTGTGCTGTTGTACTGCCTTGCTTTTCTCCATTCTCCGTGGGTTGAGTTGTTTCCTTGATTAATCCAAATGCATGTACCTGGATGTTTCAGTTGAAGGTACTGTGTTTACTCGCTTCTTCCATTTCTCTGGGTGAGAGCAGCACACTCTGGCTGCTTGTAGTCTGCCATCTTGGCTGCCACCCACTCTTCCTCTGTTTTCTGAAGTATTTGGAAAGCTTGGTTACATTTCTTCCTTAAATGTATGATAAAATTTACTATTAAAGCCATTGGGCTTGCAGTTCTCTTTTTAGAACATAGTTTAATTATAAAATTTTTATTAACATTTTAATTTAATATGCTACCATGGTTTTGTTTCTTCTTATGTCTGTCTTAGCACATTTTATTTTTCAAAAAACTGCCCATCTCTTAAGTTTATAAAAAAAACTATTGTCATAAATTTGATCATAACAATCCGTTATTATTATTTTTTTTTAGTATCCCTCTAAGGCAAGTGGTAATGCTGCCTTTTCGTTTTTGGTATTGGTAACTTGTACTTTCTCTGTTTTTATTGACAAATTCAACTGTTCTTGGTCTTTTTAAAAATTTTAATTTTATAGATATTTTCCAAAAACAGTCCTTGATTTTGTTGTTCATTTTTCTATTGTTTCCATTTTCTATTTGTTGACTTCTAAATATTTGTTTATTGCTATTTCTTCTGTTTATTTTGTACTTAATTTGTTTTATTCATCTGTATTTTAATAGAAGCTTATTTCGTTGATTTGCAGTCTTTCTTTTTTATAGTGTAAGCAAATTTTAATATCAATATTTTTATAAATGGATTCCACAAATTTTGATATGTTGTATTTTTATTTTCATTTAGTTAAAAATGTTTTCTAATTTACTTGTGATATCTTCTGTAACCCATGGATATTTAGAAATGTGTTGCTTTACTTCCACATAATTGTAGAATTTCAAAATTTAATTTTGTCATGATCAAGAACGTACTATATGTTATTTCAATCCTTTAAAACTTATTTAGAACTGTTTCTTGGTATAGCATATGATCTTTCTTGGTTCGTATTTCAGTGTTTCTTGTGCTCTTGAAGATGATACACATTTGCTGCTATTTGAGTAGAATCTTCCGTAACTCTGAATTACGACAAGTTTGCTGATATTGTTGAAGTCTTCTCTATATTTACTGAAATTTTGGGGCTATTAACTCAATTAATAAAAGAGGGATTTTTAATGTCTCCAACTATAATTTGGTTGATTTGTGTATGTTTTCTTCAGATTTGTCCATTTCTGCTTTACATATTTTGGCATTCCATTTTAGGCACATACACATTTATACACATCCTCTTGATAGATTGAGGTTTTTATCATTATAGCTTTCTTTAAATTGCTAATAATATTTTTTGCTCAGAAGCCTACTTTGCTTAATACTAAAGCAGCCACTCTGGCTTTCTTGGGACTTGTGTTGGCGTAGCATTTTTTTCCCTTCTTTTATGTTTAATCAGTTTGTATATTTCTATTTGTGCCATTGTTTTTGTTCCAGTTTCCTGTCTTTTAAAAAAAGTTATTTGAGTAAATTGTTATTCCATTTTATTTAAAATATTGGCTCTTAAGTATGCATCTTTATATATTTATATTGCTAGTGTTACTCTAGACTTTGCAGTATACATTTTTAATTTACTATAGTTTACCACATATTAATATTATGCTATTTCATGTATATGAAGATTATCACAATAGACTTCAATTTACTCTTTTCCTGTTCTTCGTGCTATCGATACTGTGCTTAGTTTTATATCTGTTTCTGCTTCATGATAAATTGTTTTTATTTCTGCCCTAAGTAGTCCATTATCTTTTGAAGAAATTAAGAAAAATACCGATTCAGGGCCCCAGCTCACATCTAGTAGACTGTAATTTTTAAGGGTTTCAAAACTCCACAGTACTTACCTGTTTAGATTTGTTGAAAATATTTTGAGGAGAGGAACTACATAGTTTCATTTTTAACTTTAAAAAAATCGAAGCAAATTTTGTGAGTAAGGGTAGGAGGACTAGTTACTATTCAGTTGAAATAGTTTATGTAATAAATGATGAGAACCTGAACTAGGGCAGTAGAAATAAAATGAAAATACATAAATAGATATTAGGGATATTTTTAAAGTTACCATATTTTTTCACAGATGAGTGAGAAAAGATAAAAGAAGGGGAAGTTTCTAATACATTAGTTTTATAGCTCCAGAATGGGGTTGATAATAATGCTGCTGAAGAAGTAGGAAGGTGTGGCTGGGCGTGGTGGCTCACGCCTGTAATCCCAACACTTTGGAAAGCCAAGGAGGGTGGATCACCTGAGGTCAGGAGTTCGAGACCAGCCTGGTCAACATGGAGAAACCCCATCTCTACTAAAAATACAAAAATTAGCCAGGCATGGTGGTGGGCACCTGTAATCTCAGCTACTTGAGAGGCTGAAGCAGGAGAATTGCCGGAACCCAAGAGGTGGAGGTTGCAATGAGCCGAGATTGCGCCATTGTGCTCCAGCCCGGGCAACAACAATGAGACTCCATCTCCAAAAAAAAAAAAAAAAAAAAAAAAAAAAAAAAAAAAAAGGAAGGTGTGTAAATGGAATAATGACTCTACTTAAACATGCATTTCATTTTGCAATATTCTGATGAACTATCAGGACCTGAAAATTAGCAACAAAAATGAGGCTGGAAAAAGATGATAAACATGAGACACATTTATCAGAGATCATTAACAATATTTGGTGTCCTATTAGGAGTGGGCAAAAGAGAGAATGATGATTCAAATATTACTCAGATGTTACTAGTTTGGATAGTGATGCTATTAATTGAGACTGAGAACACTAATGAAAGGGCATGTTTTGATACAGAGGAAGTGCAGTGATCAGTTCAGGTGGTGAATTTAACTTGTATATGCTGATTTTGAAGACATACAGGTTAAAATGCCTGTTGTATGTATGCTCAAACATGTAGCCATGGTGGTTAGAAGAGAGGTGCAGTTTAGAAATAGAGATGGGAATAAATGAGATATCCCCAGGGAGACAGAGCGAAGTCAGAAGAAAAGGATGATTTAGGAAGGCCAATAAAGTAAACACAAGTGTCAATGAATGTAGAATATTTTAAACATAGTATGCCGCATTCTTTTATTAATGCAGAAAAATTACAAGCCACTTATTAAAATATCCAGGATAGAGTTGCTAAAACTATTCTTGAAGAATATATTTTATTTTGTCTTACAGAATGATTTCTCCTTTAAAATTGTCACAAAACCAAATTCTGTAAGTAGTCTAATAGTATTACCTGCGAATATGATGAGGCCACTATCTCTTTTAGATATCGTTGAAATGTGCAAATATGGAATATACATTGATAATCATTTTATTGACTTTTTTGACACTTGTCTAACTCCACTGATACCTTGCATATTACAAAACAAAAAAAAAGAGTAAGTGATTAGTCCAAATGTTGAACAGATTGCAATATAGAAAAAAAAAAAAAACGTGGTTGGGAAAAATCTAAACAGTATGTGTATTGTGTGTGATTAGCTTTTTTCCGGTGTTGTTATTCCATGTCATGGAAGTTGATGTAATTGCATCTTGTGAATACATTACAACATGTGTTTTGCCCAGATGAAGAGTAATCACAACAAGTAATTTGAACTTGTCATTTGGTAGCATTACTATAAATGGCAGGAGAATATTTTGTTAAATCTTTATGACTGGGATATGCATTTTTGTAATCATTCCAAAAAGTTACTGGAGGTGGCAGATGTCTGACAAAAGTCTTTCTGTTTGACTGTTTTTGTGCTTAAAAAAACAAGAGAGAAGCAAAAATCAACCATAATGAACTTTTGGCCCTTCCGATTACTTTTCTGTGAAATTTTAGTTTGAATGCACAGTCATCAGGAAGCCCGTTACATATTTACATGCTGCCCCCCAACCCGCCCCAACACACACACACAGTGAAGGAGAATCAGAGCATGTAGCCATTTCTGTATTCCTTTGTATTTAAAACAAAACAAAAAAACCCTTTCAGGTCACCAGGTCTCTTCTGCAGTGTGCTTGTAGTTTTTAAGCACTCAGTGTTCTATCTTGTCTCTCTGTCTTGCTTTGGCGGCTTATGTATGGTTGGAATATCCTTTAGCCCTATTTCCTCCACTGTCCAGGGCTTATGCCTTAGCTATTGTTCACAATTCTCTTGCAATGTGCTTGCCTCAGGCTAACATACGCTCCCTACATCTGTGCTTCTCATGTTATTCCCATAGAACACTATGTGTGCAGGCAATGGAGCTGCTATTACATTCTCTTGCAGTTGCCAGTTACCTTACTAGTCTGACATATGACTATGACCTCTTTGTCATCAGGAACATTGTCCTACTCATCTTCCTATGTTCCCATTTCCTTGTACTATGCCTAGAACATGACGGGCATTCAACCCTACCACTCCACTTTCCCCCCTGTCCCTGGTCCAATTTCTTTTTTTATTACCCAACAAAATCGTAACTCTCCCTTGGGTAGAAGTCGAGGAGAGAGGGAAGAAAATAAATATGTGCTGAGCTCTATTCTCAGTACCATAAAGATTTACAAGTCCTATGGTGAGTTCTTTGTAACTAATGCAGAATAAAATAATTGTTCAATACATGTGTAAATAGAATCATCTAGTAGAAGAAAAACAGAATGGTACATTTTCATAAAAGTCTTTGTAGAAAATTATCATTTTCTCTCTGCCTTAAAAATACCTATGATTCTGATAGGCAGAAAAGATGCTGTGAAAAAGATAAAGCCCGGGAAGCAGGAAAACACAGGTCAAGCTGGGGTCAGGGTCAGGGATGGTACATTCTCAATGGTGACTGTGGGAACAGGGGGAAGCAAGGCTAAGATGTTCACTCAAACTGTGTGGAATTCGATGGATAAGGAGTCAGCTACAAATGTTGAATATCTGTATGACAAGGAATTATTCAAATTGCTATGTAAGTGACATTATACAACACATTAACTTAGTGCATGTGTTTATAAATGATCATTTATTGTGAATATTTTAAAACCAGGTTATCAGATACAAGATAAAATCATCAGACAAAATCATCTCTGGTAATTTTAAAACCTACCTATATAACAAGTGGTAGATTTTTGTTGTTGTTGTTAAAGTGGGGAGCGGGGAGGTGGTGGAAGAAAACTATTATAAACCTTACAGAAAATATATATTTATCACTAGTATATTTTGTTAATATAAATATATTATAATTAAAATTTCAGTATGTGTGCTTTGAAAAATTTAAACAATTACTGTCGTGTGTGTGTGTGTGTGTGTGTGTGTGTGTCTTAACTGTCAATTTCTGTCGTGGTGATCTTTGTCCACACATCTATTACAAATAATGTCAGATATAGTCAGTGAATGTTTTTATGAACAACTAGAAACAAGAAAATCTATCTGTGACCCAATGCCTATTAGTTGACAACAACCACAGCATGCTAATATTTGTTCTATTATCTAGTAGAAGTGTTACCTGGGAACTTGATCTTGCCAGTTGGATCAATAACAATATAGACATTAATTTATATACATGTGTATATGACAGCACCTTTCACTAATCTACTATCACAAGAAAAACATAATCCACAATATAAAATACAGGTGTGCAAGTACCCATTGACACCCACAGACATATGCTTTTGTGCTTCTCCTGTTCGTCACATTAATTATAAAAATTCTTACGATGTTTACAGACACTGATGTGAATACATTATTTGGCATTGAGTAAGTCATTTGCCCTCTTTATATCAACAAGTTGTCTATCTATAAAACAAGAGTTGTTTTATTAGATAATCTAAAAGGTATTTTCAAGTTCTGAAATTCTACTGGTGATCACATTAAGATTTTTTATTTTACTTAGTGTCAAGTACAAGTCTCAGTTTCCAATTAATGCAGATTTTAGAGAACAAAAAATGACTGTCTGAGTTCTATTCTTATGGCTGGAAAATAATTGTTCTTAAAGCTCAAAAATAGTCAACATTAGCCCTTTGTTTTTGAAAATTAACAGCAGCAGAAACTGCAAATCTCTATTGTAGAGCTTCATTTCCATCTCTGAGAGAGAGGCTGGCCACATCTTTCCAGGTGGCCCTGGATTCATCCTCATGAGAAAAATGGAGATACTTAAAGTTTTAAAAAAATTCTCACCATTGCTGAAAAATACAAAGTACCTGCACACTGTAAGTTTCTCTTATTCCAAAAACAAGATGACTCATCATCTTTTAAAAACTCAATTTGCTGAAAATTCTATTTAAAAAAACGTTAAAGAACTTATTGGTCTTAATTCAAATAAATTTTGAAATATCTCATACTATTCAATTTGTCTCTCTCAAGTACTGAGGTTTCATAATGATGTGTGTGTTCTACTCTGAATTATATTCCTCCAAATTTGAATTATTCAGGTCCTAACCTCCAGTACCTGTGAATATGACCTTATTTGGAGTAGTGTCTTTGCAGATATATAATCAAGTTAATATGAGGTCCTACTAGATCAGAGTGAGCCCTGAAACCAATGACTTGTATCCTTATAAGAAGGCCATGTGAAGACACACAGAGAGATCATGTGACAACAGACACAGAGATTGAAACGAACAAGCCAAGGAATGCCAAGGATTGACAGCAACCACCAGAAACTAGAAAGAGACAAGGAAGGATTTTCCTGAGAGTCTTCAGAGCAATTATGTCTCTTCCAACATGTACATTTTGGACTTCTAGCCTCAAGAACTATGAAAGAATAAATTTATATTGTTTTAAGCCACCCAGTTTATGGGTACTTAGTTATAGTTATCCTAAGAAATTAATACAGATTTTGGCACCATGGAGTAGAGCGCTGCTGTAACAAGAATCTAAAAATGTGGAAGTAATGGTAGAGTTATGTAATGGGTAGTAGCTAGTGGAGTTTTGAGACAAATTATAGTAAAAGCTTAGATTGCCTGGAGGAGATTGTTGGTAATAATAGGGATGTTAAAGTTGATTCTGGTAAGGACTCAGAAGGAAGGGAAGAGGATGGCAGGTAAAGCTTTTCTCATTTTAGAGAATACATATATCATTATAAACAGCAGGATGTCTTTAGAAATTTGAACACTAAGGGTGCTTCTGGTGAAGTCTGAGAGGGAAATGTGGAGCACGTTATTGGACACAGGAGTAAAGGGGGCACTTCCTACAAAGTGACAGGGAACATAACTGAATTGTGTGTTAGTGTTAGATGGAAAGTAAAATTTGTAAGTAATGACTTCAATATTTACCTGAGGAAATTTCTAAGCAAAATATGGAAGGTATGGCCTGGTTTTTCTGGATCACAGAAAATAGGGAAGGTGTGTCCTGTTTTTTTTTTTTTTTTTTTCTGGAGAAAAAACTGCTAAGAAAAATAAGCCAATGCCTGATGTCTTAGAAAATCCTTAGCCTATTCAGACAGCATGCTCAAGGCTGTGACTAGACAAACCTTTGCTGACAAAATTAGGTGTGACTTACGGAATAAATCAAGCATCTTGGCAGAGGCCAGGAATAGAGAAGGGGTTATCTAGGAAAGACCTGTGGAGAGCCCTCATGTCTCATGACATGGATGCCCCTTGACATCCACAGAGAACTAACAGGGCTTTTGAAAATGAATGATGTATATAAAGGAACACAGCCAGCCTCACTGGAGGGGACAGAGGAGATAGAATGAAAGAAGGCTATTGGACTTCCAAAATTCTACAATTAGGAGATGGACAAAGAAGATAGGGCTACCCAGAGAGGGCTCAGAGGATAGGGCACCCAGCAATAGAGGATTATTTGCACATTTTAAAATCTGATAGGATTTACTGGGTTTTGAATTAACTTTAGTCCAGTGACTCTTTTATTCCTTCAATTTCTTTTATCCTCATTTGGAGTGAAAATGTCTATCTTACACCTGCCCCAGCATTGTATTTGGAAGAAGATAGCTTGTTTCTTAGTATTATAGATCCAGAAATGGAAAATAATTTTGCCCTAGAATGAATAATGCCCAGAGTCTTACCCAAAACTGACTGAGATGATGTAAGTAGTGAGATTTGGAATTTTTCAAGTTGTGATATTTAGGTAAGATTTGGCTTAAAAGTTCATGTTGGAATGAGTTAAGACTTTTGAAGATGTTGGGCTGGGGGAAATTTATTTTGTACGTAGGAAAGATGTGACTTTTTGGAAGTCAGAGAGAAAGTTTTACTGGGTTGAATTGTGTCTCCCAGAAAGATATGTTCAAGTCCTATCCCTTTGTACCCATGAATATAACCTTATGTGAAAAAAAGATCTTTGCAGGTTCAGTCAAGTTAAGATGAGATACTGTAGATTAGGGTATCCCCTAAATCCAATGACTCTTTTCCTCATAAGTCACAGAGACACACAGGGAAGACAGTAATGTGATGACAGAGACAGGATTGAAAGAGCATGTGAAGGAATGCCAGCTACCAAAAGAAGCTAGGAAGAGGCAAGGAAAGGCACCTCCCTGGAGTCTTCAGAGGAAGCATGGCTTTTATGACACCTTTATTTTTACTTATATCTTCCAGAACTATGAAATAATACATTTTTATTGTTTTAAACCATCCAGTTTGTGCTAATTTGTTATGGCAGCCACAACAGTGTTCACGATCACTTGAAAGTCTGTTAGAATGAGAAGTGACATCCATGAGCACATCTGAATTGGGCATCTACACCAGTTTCTCTTAAGAGAGAAAAACCAAACAACTGGTATAACATTGTCCATTAGGAATATAGGCTTTGATGTCAAACAGACGAAGATTGCTAATTCTACCTCTAATGTGTTGAGTGACATTACGAAAACTTTTATTTTTCTCTTCCCTCATCTATATAATGGTACTAAAAAGGGTCTTTTCTTTTTAGACATAAAGAGATTAAGTACTATAAGATTCCTATGAGAAACCTAAGAGATTAAGTCCTTTGGGATAACACAACTGGTAGGATACAGAATCAAGTGTTGAGACTTCGTCTTTATGACTCTAAAGCTTGTAGCTCATTCTAAAGGAAATGCATAAATAATGAATACATGCTCAAAAGATCTGTGGAAACTCAAGGAAATAAAGTTTGTTCTGAGAGAAAAATTGGTGGAGCTTTTAAAAAATAAATAAACAAATAAATAATGGACTTAGAGTGGCTACTTACAGCCCAAGCAAAATTTTGATGGGTGAAATTTCAGGTGGCAGATACTAGATCAGGGACTCTGGAGGCCCATCAGAGCCAGCAGGAGCCAAAACTTTCAAAGATGTCAAGGCCCCTGAGCAGCTGGCTTGCTCAAAGGAACAGCAAATAGACCCATGGAATTAAATAAATGTGGTAGAGAATGAGACCAGAGAAGCAAGTCAAGCCAATTTTGCAGGATCTCATTACTTGCTGAGTTTCAAATTTATTCTTGTTAGTCAGGCATCATTTTTGGTTTCTAAGTGAGAAAGTAGCAAAACGCATTAATTTTGGAAATAATTTTGAATTATTGTTTGAACAATAATTCAAATTCAGTTAATTCAAAGTATAAACAGTTTATCATAGTCTCAGTAATATATGATATGTTTTGTGGACTGAATGTTTGTGACCACCCTTCCAAACTCATATGTTAAAATTCTAATCTCCAATGTGTTGGTATTAAGAAGTGAGGTCTTTGGTAGGAAATTAGGTCATGAAGTTGGAATACTTGGAATTAGTGCCCTTATAAGATGAGACATGAGGACTTGCACTCTTTCTCTCCTCCCACTCCTTTTCTCTCTCTATAATGACCACTTCCTCACCTCTCTCTCTCTCTTCTTTCTACCCTTATGAGAATATAACACATAGATGGCCAACCGCAAATGTGAATGAGGTGTCCACACCACACACCACATCTTCCAGCACGTTAATCTTAGACTTCCCAGTCTCCACAACTGTGAGACATAAATGTTTAAGTTGCCCAGCCTATGATAATTTGATATAGTAGACCAAACTGACTGAAGCAATACATAAGACATATATATCACAGGTAACGTATGCTGTATTGATACTTTATATTTAAATCTATAAAGATTTATACCAAAATTAGAACCATGATTATCTCTGGTAATAGATATATAGATAAAATACACTTTCACTTTTTAAAATCTTTTTCTTTATATGTTCTTTAACTTTTCAGTAATGACCTGCTCTTCATGTTGGTAACATGGCAAAAGTGAAGCTAGGGACAAACACCAGTGAGGAGAACCCTAGTAATAAACCAGGACGAAAACACGAATGCCCTTTACTTTGGCTGAGCAGGAGACAAGGATGAGATATATTTCCAAGGTAGAATTGATAGGATTTAGCAGTGAGTCACTGGGGAAAGATGTTAGAGAGGTAGAGCTAAAGACAACACAAAGATTCCTATTTGAGGTAACAGGAAGGGAAGAGGTCCTGCTAACTGAGGAAGCGGTCCCAGGAGAAACAGGTTTAAGCTGGGGTCAAGCGGGGTACAGATAATGAGCTAAGCATTAGACACACAGAACTTGAGGTGACAGCCAAGCCGCCATGATTTTGAGAAGTCACAGGGGCTATCCCAGAGGGCCAAAGTGTTGAGATAAAAAGGGGTAAAAGAAATGGTAAGATATTTCCAGAGAAGATTCAAAAAGCCAAATGATGATGAATATATTCATCTGGCTGGTAGTAAAATCTCAGAAACCTTGTGATGTAGATAGATTCACATGAATCGTTTTACTAAGAGATAAAAAGTGATGCACTCGCAGAAGAAGGATGTAATTCACAAATTATAGTTAATGTGCTGTAGGATTATTAGGTGCTCAGATGTAACTAAAAATGCAGTAAACTCAACCCCCTCATTATAAGGAGCTGACAAGCGACACAGAAAGTATGCTTGAAAAAATACATCCCTGCTGTTTGTCACGGTGTCGTCCCAGATGAGGTACATAAATAAACATGTCACTCACAGTGTTTCACTTCCTTCCACAAGACTGTCAGCAAAGTGGGGTAAGAGAACAAAATCATAGGCCTATTTATCAGAGTCAAACAAGTAATAGTAACAACAAATAAAGAACCCTCTTGGGCTCGATGTTCCACTGCTCTAGGTGAAGGGTAAAGGGCCCATGCAAGAGCTCAATGGCACATCTAGTACACTGCAATAAGGACTCTCCATCCTCATGGAATCACCTTCAGGGTCTAGTAACTGCATTGCTAATTTTGGCAGCATCCTGATCACAGCATTTTTTGAAATGCGTATTTCCAAATGGACATGTCAGCGTTGGAGACTATCTGGCATTTTTACTCTATTGAGTGACTTTATCTGCCAGAATAGTGGGCAGAGACCATGATGCAGATGAATGAGAGCTAGATCTAGTAATCTATGTGACTTTCTAGAAATTGCATACATTTTTGAGCCTCCACTTTATTTAATAGGGATTGTATAGTAATCCAAAGTTTGCTGAAAGAACTGCCTGGAATAATGTATTCAGTGAGTCTAGAATGTCCTAGTTAAAGGCAGTATATTAAAAAAAAATATTGTTTTTACTTCTGAAGGACAACTGAAATGACCAATAAGAGGCATTAAAACTAAAATATAGCATAAACTTGCAAGGAGAAAGATAACAGAACACAGGAAAAAGAAAAAAACAGGAAGCTGAGAATAGAAGCTGAGTAGTCATTGATTTAGCTGAGAAAAATGGGATCCAAAGCCATCAGTGAGGAAACTGAAAAGCAGGTTTGTGCCAGAGATCTCAAATCTCTCAAGAATTCTCAGCATGAGAGACCTCTGAAACTGGCGTGAGGTAGGTGAGGATGGGATTGGTGGAAAGTGTCTTTAAGAAAATCTAAGGCTAGATCTCCTTATCCTCTCCTCCAGCCCATGTGCCTGAGACTCACTGTATCTCTCTCTTCCTCCCCATCAAATCAGAAGTTTAGATGATTTCTTCAAATCAGGTGAAACAAAATATGTCTACACTTGGGGACACCCAGCACAACTGAGGGTGATGGTGTGTAGTAAAAATAATTAACTGAAAATTTGCATCATGAAATAGAGCTGAAACCCAGCTTTCCTTCCCTAACTGATTTTCAGAATTCAGACAGCCAGCTTATATGTCTAGGCACACTTTGGAATTTTTTTCTCAGGTGAAATGTACTAGGTAAAGAGAAACACCTAAAGATACTGACTTTCAGAATACTTCCCAAAGACTCAGCCAGATTACACTGCATGCATCTGATGATGAAAAATTTTATTTACACAGAACTGGCAATCATCTTAATGCTCTATGCTTATGCACAAACAGACAGCCGAGAGTCACCAAACATATGAAAACCTTTTTTTATATGAAAGACCAAAATGAACAAGAACATGCAAATTGAGGAACAGAGACTATGCAAGAAAATAAGAAATTCAGTATAAAGTATCAATATTTCTCATGTATGGAAGACACAACATACATTACTCTAATGTAGTAGCCACTAGCCGCAAATGACTATTTAAATATAAATTAAGTAAAATTAAATAAAATTAAACATTTTGTAGCAACGGCTACCTACTGAGTAGAACATATTGTAGAACATTTGCATTGCAGAAGAAAGTTCTGTGGGAAGTGCTGAAGAAAAGCAACAACTAGG